>NC_000006.12:96434426-96585941 GCF_000001405.40 Homo sapiens
AACTCTTCCAGGAAGATTGTCCATAGGTGCATCCACACTGTGTTCCCATGGGAGAAGCTCCAGATGTGTCTGAAGTGGTGTGCCAGGAGGAATAAGAACCCCTTTTCTATAGTCCTTCATGATCACAGAGACTGCCTATCTGTTGGAGTAGAGGTATACTTTCTCTACCGCACCCAACACTGCAATTGTGTCTCTACTGTGAGAAACTTCCCACCAGCAGAAATATCTGAGACTCAAGACCTGCTGTTCAGATTATTTTTTCCCACAGAGTGATCCCTTTGAAAATTTTTTCCCACAGGATGATCCCTTGATGTGGTGCTCTGCCCCTTTCTCTAGGAATGGGGCTTCCTGAGAGCCAGACTGCAGTGATTACTATTGCTCCTCTGGGTCTAGCCACCCAGTGGGGTTAACAGGCTCTAGGCTGGTGCTGTGGAATGTCTGCAAAGGATCCAGTGATGTGACTTGTCTTCAGGTCTCTCAGCAGTGGATACCAGCACCTGCTCTGATGGAGGTGGCATAGGAGTGATGTAGACTGTGAAATTCCATGGTTGTAGATAGGCTTAAAGTGCTAGTGTACTGGCTTTCTCCAATCCTGGTTATGCTAATAAGAGCAAACTTGTCACATGGACAGACTCAGTACCTCTGGTTAGCCAGGGTGTTTCAGGCAGTGGTGTTAGCAGCTGTTTTTTCTTTCCTGGGCACAGTGTTATTCTGCCAAAAGGTGCTGTAATGGCCTGAGTTGGTGACCTCCAGTCAGGAGTTGGCACCTGCAAGAGATCACTTGTTGTGGTAGTAGCAGTGGGATTTGAGCTTGCCCTAAGTTGTCCATGGGAAGTATTCTGGTTTCTGAGGCAATGGGTGGGGCCATAAAACTCCCCAAATTTTAAGACATCCTTTGTGTTCAGCTACCAGGGTGGTTAAAGAAATACCATCAGGTTAGGGAAGAGTTAGGTGGGCTGAGTTCACGCTCTCCTTGGGCAGGGCCTGCTGTAGCCCCTGTTGGGGATGGGGGTGGTTCTCAGGCTACTGGGGGTAATATTCAATGGGGGAGTATAACTGCCTCTGCTATGCAGAAAAGTTTGCAAAAGAGTGGGGAATACCCAGCAGCATCAGGCGTCACCCAGCTCCCACCCAGTTAGCGAGGCCAGTCTCACTCCTGCAGTGCCCCACTCAGCCCCATATTTAGATCCAGGCAGCCTGTGCACAAAGCTCAGTCCTGCCCCAGCCCATAAGCTTCCCCATACAGACAGCAAGCACGGCTTTCAGGTTATAACCCTCCCCATTTGCCCATGAGACCAGGCGTCCAGCTCCTGCGCTGGTTCATATCTGCAGCACACTTCCTGCTCACCCCCGGATTCTGTTCAAGGGAGTTCACCCCCACTCAAAATTATATCACAAAATGTAATTTGGAGGCTCTTTCATCCTGCGACCCACCCATGAGTTTGTTGGCTGACTTCCCAGAGGTCCCCTGTGAGATATAGTCAAGAATGGCGAGGGAGAGGTTAGGAAAATGGTGGATAGGAGGCAGGACTAAATTGCAACTCCCCCTCAGACGGACAGAACAGCATGTGAAGACTCACATTGTGAACTTTTGCTCCAAAAACTACCACAGGAACATGGCAGAAAAGCCAGCTGAGATAAACCACAGACCCTTTAAAGAAGTGGATTACTACTGCAAGCCCCAGGAGACAACCTACAAACTATGAGTGCCCAAAGTGTGAAAGTGTGAAAGGGGGATCATCCACTCCTGAACACACATCCTCACTGGGGAACCTGAAGGTCCAGATCACTGAAGAAGGATTTGACCTTACCTGAAGCTGAGACAATTTTAGAGAGCCGAGTGAAATACAGAGGTAGAGGAAGCAGTGGGAAGAGCCCTGTGGGTTCACAGTCTCCAGGAAAGCCATTTCTGACTTTGTCTTACAGAGGCCCTTGAGGAATGCTGCTAGAGGAACTGGGAAAAGACTACAGGCAGAAGGAAACTTCCAGCTGAACTTCGTAACAGTTTTGACCATACTCCAAGTTTTCTGGACAGAACTTGGGGGAGGGAATGAATCAGGAGTGCAGACACAGCACAGAAGCCTCCACAGGTGGGGAGGCAGGAAACCTGAAATCCCTGCTTGCTTTCATAGCTGGGAGGCTGGTCGCCTGGGGCAAGATCTCAGGCCTGCTCACCCGCTGCACGGAAACAGGCTCAGTGCTGTTGTGGGGAGCATGGTGAGAGTAAAACAGGCCTTTGGGGCTGTGTGAGGGCTGTGTGAAAGCTGTGTGAAACCTGTAACTGCTGGCTTTCCCCACATCCCTGGCAACCTGCATGACACAGGACAGGCAGCCATAATCCCCCTCAGAACATAATTCCATTGACTTGGGAACAACACCCCCATCTCCCATAGGAGCCGCAGCAAGCCCCACCCAAGGAGAGTCTGAGCTGGGACATGCCTAACCCAGCCCCCACCTGATGGTCTTTCTATACCAACCCTTTTAGCCCAAGAAAAAGGACATATTATCTTGGGAGATTTAGGGCCCTACCCACCACCCGATCATTCCTATGTTACCATAGCTGATGCTGTCTTGAAAGTGCCCGGTTCCAAGATGGCCAAATAGGAACTGCTCCAGTCTGCAGCTCCCAGCATGAAGGATGCAAAAGACCAGGTGATTTCTGCATTTCCAACTGAGGTACCGGGTTCATCTCACTGGGGCTTGCCAGACAAGTGGGTGCAGCCCATGGAGCAGGGTGGGGCATCGCCTCATCTAGGAAGTGCAAGGGGTCGGAGAATTCCCTTTCCTAGCAAGGGGAAGCCATGACAGACAGCACCTGAAAATCAGGACACTGCCACCCTAATACTGCACTTTTCCAACAGCCTTAGCAAAGGGCACACCAGGAGATTATATCGTGCACCTGGCTCGGAGGGTCCCACGCCCATGGAGCCTCACTCACTGCTAGCACAGCAGTCTGAGATAGAACTGCAAGGTGGCAGCGAGGCTGGGGGAGGGGCATCTGCCATTGCTGAGGCTTGAGTAGGTAAATGAAGCAGCCAGGAAGCTCGAACTGGGTGGAGCCCACCTCAGCTCAAGGAGGCCTGCCTGCCTCTGTAGTCTCCACCTTTAGGGGCAGGGCATAGCTGAACAAAAGACAGCAGAAACTTCTGCAGACTTAAACGTCCCTGTCTGACAGCTTTGAAGAGAGAAGTGGTTCTCCCAGCACGGAGTCTGAGATCTGAGAACGGACAGACTGCCTCTTCAAGTGGGTCCCTGACTCCTAAGTAGCCGAACTGGGAGGCATCTCTGAGTAGGGGGGTGACTGACACCTCATAAGGCCGAGTGCCCCTCTGAGACGAAGCTTCCAGAGGAAGGATTAGGCAGAAACATTTGCTGTTCTGCAGCCTCTGCTGGTGATACCCAGGCAAACAGAGTCTGCAGCGGACATCCAGCAAACTCCAACAGACCTACAGCTGAGGGTCCTGACTGTTAGAAGGAAAACTAACAAGCAGAAAGGACATCCACACCACAACCCCATCTGTACGTCACCATCATCAAAGACGAAAGGTAGATAAAACCACAAAGATGGGGAGAAACCAGAGCAGAAAAGCTGAAAATTCTAAAAATCAGAATGCCACTTCTCCTCCAAAGGAATGCAGCTCCTTGCCAGCAAGAGGACAAAGCTGGATGGAGAATGACTTTGACGAGTTGAGAGAAGAAGGCTTCAGACGATCGGTAATAACAAACTTCTCCGAGCTAAAGAAGGATGTTCGAACCCATCGCAAAGAAGTTAAAACTTCCCCAACCTAGTGAGGCAGGCCAACATTCAAATTCAGGAAATATGGAGAACACCATAAAGATACTCCTCGAGAAGAGCAACTCCAAGACACATAGTTGTCAGATTCACCAAAGTTGAAATGAAGGAAAAAATGTTAAGGGCAGCCAGAGAGAAAGGTCGGGTTACCCACAAAGGGAAGCCCATCAGACTAACAGCAGATCTCTTGGCAGAAACTCTACAAGCCAGAAGAGAGTGGGGGCCAATATTCAACATTCTTAAAGGAAAGAATTTTCAACCCAGAATTTCATATCCAGCCAAACTAAGCTTCATAAATGATGGAGAAATAAAATAATTTACAGACAAACAAATGCTGAGAGATTTTGTCACCACCACCAGGCCTGCCTTACAAGACCTCTTGAAGGAAGCACTAAACATGGAAAGGAAAAACTGGTACCAGCCACTGCAAAAACATGCCAAATAAGACCACAGATACTAAGAAATTGCATCAAGTAATAAGCAAAATTTACCAGCTAACATCATAATGACAGGATCAAATTCACATATAACAATATTAACCTTAAATGTAAATGGGCTAAATGCTCCAATTAAAAGACACAGACTGGCAAATTGGACAAAGAGTCAAGACCCATCAGTATGCTGTATTCAGGAGACTCATCTTATGTGCAGAGACACACATAGGCTCAAAATAAAGGGATAGAGGACAATCTACCAAGCAAATGGAAAACAAAAAAAAAGCAGGGGTTGCACTCCTAGTCTCTGATAAAACAGACTTTAAACCAACAAAGATCAAAAGAGACAATGAAGGCCATTACATATGGTAAAGGGATCAATTCAACAAGAAGAGCTAACTATCCTAAATATATATGCACCCAATACAGGAGCACCCAGTTTCATAAAGCAAGTCCTGAGAGATCTAAAAAGAGACTTAGACTCTCACACAATAATAATGGGAGACTTTAACACCCCACTGTCATATTAGATAGATTAATGAGACAGAAAGTTAACAAGGATATCCAGGAATTGAACTCAGCTCTGCACCAAGTGGACCTAATAGACATCTACAGAACTCTCCACCCCAAATCAACAGAATATACATTCTTCTTAGCACCACATCACACTTACTCCAAAATTGACCACATAGTTGGAAGTAAAGCACTCCTCAGCAAATGTAAAAGAACAGAAATTATAACAAACTGTCTCTGAGACCACAGGGCAATCAAACTAGAATTCAGGATTAAGAAATTCACTCAAAACTGCTCAACTACATGGAAACTGAACAACCTGCTCCTGAATGACTACTGGGTACATAACAAAATGAAGGCAGAAATAAAGATGTTCTTTGAAACCAATGAGAACAAAGACAAAACATACCAGAATCTCTGGGACATATTTAAAGCAGTGTGTTGAGGGAAATTTATAGCACTAAATGCCCACAAGAGAAAGCAGGAGAGATCTAAAATTGACACCCTAACATCACAATTAAAAGAACTAGAGAAGCAAGAGCAAACACATTCAAAAGCTACCAGAAAGCAAGAAATAACTAAGATCAGAGCAGAACTGAAGGGGATAAAGACACAAAAAACCCTTCAAAAAATCAATGAATCCAGGAGCTGGTCTTTGAAAAGATTGACAAAATTGATAGACTGCTAGCAAGACTAACAAAGAAGAAAAGAGAGAAGAATCAAATACATGCAACAAAAAATGATAAAGGGGATATCACCACCAATCCCATGGAAATACAAACTACCACCAGAGAATACTATAAACACTTCTATGCAAATAAACTAGAAGATCTAGAAGAAATGATGAATTCCTGGACACATACACCCTCCCAAGACTGAACTAGGAAGAAGCTGAATCCCTGAATAGACCAATAACAGGTTCTGAAATTGAGGCAATAATTAATAGTCTACCAACCAAAAAAACTCCAGGACCAGACGGATTCACAGCCAAATTCTACCAGAGGTACAAAGAGGAGCTGGTTCCATTCCTTCTGAAACTATTCCAATCAATAGAAAAAGAGGGAATCCTCCCTAATTCATTTTATGAGGCCAACGTCATCCTGATACCAAAGCCTGGCAGAGACACAACAAAAAAACAGAATTTTAGACCAATATCCCTGATGAATATCAATGCAAAAATCCTCAATAAAATACTGGCAAACCAAATCCAGCAGCACATCAAAAAGCTTATCCACCCCGATCAAGTTAGCTTCATTCCTGGGATGCAAGGCTGGTTCAATATACGCAAATCAATAAACGTAATCCATCATATAAAGAGAACCAAAGAGAAAAACCACATGATTATCTCAATAAATGCAGAAAAGGCCTTTGACAAAATTCAACAACCCTTCATGCTAAAAACTCTCAATAAACTAGGTATTGATGGGACGTATCTCAAAATAATAAGAGCTATTTATGACAAGCCCACAGCCAATATCATACTGAATGGGCAAAAACTGGAAATCTTCCCTTTGAAAACTGGCACAAGACAGGGATGCCCTCTCTCACCATTCCTATTCAACATAGTGTTGGAAGTTCTGGCCAGGGCAATACGGCAAGAGAAAGAAATAAAGTGTATTCAATTAGGAAAAGGGGAAGTCAAATTGTCCCTGTTTGCAGATGACATGATTGTTTATTTAGAAAACCCTATCGTCTCAGCCCAAAATCTCTTTAAGCTGATAAGCAACTTCAGCAAAGTCTCAGGATACAAAATCAATGTGCAAAAATCACAAGCATTCCTACACATTAATAACAGACAAACAGAGAGCCAAATCATGAGTGAACTCCCATTCACAATTGCTTCAAAAAGAATAAAATACCTAGGAATCCAACTTACAAGGGATGTGAAGGACCTCTTCAAGGAGAACTACAAACCACTGCTCAGCGAAATAAAAGAGGACACAACCAAATAGAAGAACATTCCATGCTCATGGGTAGGAAGAATCAATATCATGAAAATGGCCATACTGCCCAAAGTAATTTATAGATTCGATGCCATCCCCATCAAGCTACCAATGACTTTCTTCACAGAATTGGTAAAAACTACTTTAAATTTCATATGGAATCAAAAAAAGAGACCACATTGCCAAGACAATCCTAAGCAAAAAGAAAAAAGCTGGAGGCATCAAGCTACTTGACTTCAAACTACACTACAAGGCCACAGTAACCAAAACAGCATGGTACTGGTACCAAAACAGAGATATAGACCAATGGAACAGAATAGAGCACTCAGAAATAATACCACACATCTACAACCATCTGATCTTTGACAAACCTGACAAAAACAAGAAATGGGGAAAGGATTCCCTATTTAATAAATGGTGCTGGCAAAACTGGCTAGCCATATGTAGAAAGCTGAAACTGGATCCCTTCCTTACACATTATACAAAAATCAATTCAAGACGTTTTAAAGACTTAAATGTAAGACCTAAAACCATAAAAACCCTAGAAGAAAACCTAGGCAACACCATTCAGGACATAGGCATGGGCAAGGGCTTCATGACTAAAACACCAAAACAATGGCAACAAAAGCCAAAATTGACAAATGGGATCTAATTAAACTAAAGAGCTTCTGCACAGCATAAGAAACTACCATCAGAGTGAACAAGCAACCTACAGAATGGGAGAAAATTTTTATAATCTACCCATCTGACAAAGGGCTAATATCCAGAATCCATAAAGAACTTAAACAAATTTACAAGAAAAAATCAAACAACCCCATCAAAAAGTGGGCAAAGGATATGAATGGACACTTCTCAAAAGAAGATAATTATGTAGCCAACAGATACATGAAAAAATGCTCATCATCACTGTCCATCAGAGAAATGCAAATCAAAACCACAATGAGATTCCATCTCATACCAGTTAGAATCGCAATCATTAAAAAGTCAGGAAACAACAGATGCTGGAGAGGATGTGGAGAAATAGGAACACTTTTACAGTGTTGGTGGGACTGTAAACTAGTTCAACCATTGTGGAAGACAGTGTGGCGATTCCTCAAGGATCTAGAACTAGAAATACCATTTGACCCAGCCATCCCATTACTGGGTATATACCCAAAGGATTATAAATCATGCTGCTATAAAGACACATGCACACGTATGTTTATTGAGGCACTATTCACAATAGCAAAGACTTGGAACCAACCCAAATGTCCATCAATGATAGACTGGATTAAGAAAACGTGGCACATATTCACCATGGAATACTATGCATCCATAAAAAAGGATGAGTTCAGGTCCTTTATAGGGACATGGACGAAGCTGGAAACCATCATTCTCAGCAAACTATCACAAGGACAGAAAACCAAACACTGCATGTTCTCAGTGATAGGTAAGAATTGAACAATAAGAACACATGGACACAGGGTGGGGAACATCACACACCAGGGCCTGTGGTGGGGTGGGGGGATGGGGGAGGGATTGCATTAGGAGATATACCTAATGTAAATGACGAGTTAATGGGTGCAGCACACCAACATGGCACATGTATACGTATGTAACAAACCTGCATGTTGTGCACATGTACCCTAGAACTTAAAGTAAAAAAAAAAGAAAAAGAAAAAGAAAAAGAAAGTGCCACCTCCTGGTAGGAGGCCAACCAGCACAAAACTAGTTCAATAAACAAAACTAAAAATAAGGGCCCTCACAGAGTCTATTTTACTCCCCTGCCACCTCCATCACAGCAGGTGCTGCTATCCATGGCTGAGAGACCTTAAGATAATTCACATCACAGGACTGTGTGCAGACAACCCCCAGTACCATCCTGGAACCCAGTAGCTCCTCTGGGTGACTAGACCCAGAAGAGAAATAACAATCACTGCAGTTTGGCTCGCATGAAGCCACATTCCTAGGAAAAGGGGAAAAGTACTACATCAAGGGAGCACCCTGTGGGACAAAAGAGTCTGAAGAGAAGCCTTTGAGCCCCAGATCTTCCCTCTGACATAGTCTACCCAAATGAGAAGGAACCAGAAAAACAATTCTGGTAATATGAAAAAATAAGGTCCCTTAACACTCCCAAAAGATCACACCAGCTCACTAGCAATGGATCCAAACCAATAAGAAATCCCTGAATTGCCAGAAAAAGAATTTAGAAGGTAAATTATTCAGCTAATCAAGGAGGTACTAGAGAAAGATGAGATCCAACTTAATCAAATCAAAAAATGATACAAGATATGAAGGGAAAAATCTTCAGTGAAATAGATAACATAAATAAAAAACAATTACACCTTCTAGAAATAAAGGACACACTTAGAGAAATGCATAATGTACTGGAAAGTATCAGTAATAGAATCAAGCAGGCAGAAGAAAGAATTTCAGAGCTCAAACACAAGGTTTGTGAATTAACCCAACTCAACAAAGACAAAGGAAAACGAATTTTTTAAAAAAATGAACAACGCCTCCAAGAAGTTAGGGATTATGAAATACACCAAAATAGAACCCCCTTAAAGCATAAATCTCACAAGACCTATAGAACAAAAACATAATAAATTTTTTAAAAAAGGTATTCAAAGCTTAACCTAAGGGTAATTTGTGTTCCTGAGGAAGATGAGAAATCTAAAAGTTTGGAAAACATATTTGAGGGAATAATTGAGGAAAACCTCACCAGCCTTGTTAGATGCAAGAGATCTAGACATCCAAATACAAGAAGGTCAAAGAACACCTGGAAAATTCATTGCAAAATTATCATCACCTAGGCACATGTCATCAGGTTATCTAAAGTCAAGACGAAGGAAACAATCTTAAGAGCTGTGAAGTAAAAGCACCAGGTAACCTATAAAGGAAAACCTATCAGATTAACAGCAGATTTCTCAGGAGAAATCCTACAAACTAGAAGGGACTGGGGCCCTATCTTCAGCCTCCTTAAACAAAACAACTATCAGTCAAGAATTTTGCATCCCAGAAAAACTAAGCTTCATAAATGAAGAAAAGATAGTCTGTTTCAGACAAATGCTGGGAGAATTTGCTACTACCAAGTCAGCACTGCAAGAACTGCTAAAAGGAGCTTTAAATCTTGAAAAAAAATCCTTGAAATATACCAAAATAGAACCTCCTTAAAGCATAAATCTCACAAGACCTATAAAACAAAAACATAATAAATTTTTTTTAATTTTTTGAATTTTTTTTTTAAAAATCAGGCAACAAATGGCATCATGAATAGAATAGTACCTCACATCTCAATACTAATGTTGAATGTAAATGGCCTAAATACTCCACTTGAAAGATACAGAATGGCAGAATGGATAAGAATTAACCAACCAACTATCTGCTGTCTTCAAGAGAGTCACCTAACACATAAGGACTCACATAATCTTAAGGTAAAGGGGTGGAAAAAGATATTTCATACAAATGGACACAAAAAGCAAGCAAGAGTAGCTATTCTTATATCAGACAAAACAAACATTAAAGCAACAGCAGCTAAAAATGACAAAGAGGGACATTATATAATTATACAAGGATTTGTCCAACATAATCTTGAATATCACAATCCTAAATACATATACACTTAACACTGGAGCTCCTAAATTTATAACAGCAATGCAATAATAGTGGGGGATTTCAGTACTTCACTGACAGCACTAGACAGGTCTTCAAGACAGAAAGTCAACAACAACAACAAAAAATGGATATAAACTATATCCTAGAACAAATGGACTTAACAGATATTTACAGAACATTCTACCCAACAACTGCAGAATATACATTCTATTCATCAGCACATGGAACATTCTCCAAGATAAACGATATGATAGGCCACAAAAAAGTCTCAATAAATTTAATAAAATTGAAATTATATCAGATATTCCTCAGACCACAGTGGAATAAACTTTGAAATCAACTCATATGGAAGCAGCCTAAATGCTCATCAGCCAACGAATGGATAAAGAAATTGTGGTATATGTACCATGGAATACTATTCAGTCATAAAAAGGAGCAAAATAATGGCATTCACAGTGACCTGGATGGAATTGGAGACCACTATTCTAAGTGAAGTAACCCAGCAATGGAAAATCAAACATTGTACTTTCTCGCTTATAAGTGGGAGCTAAGCTATGAAGATGCAAAGGCATAAGAATGATACAATGGACATTGGAGACTTAGGGGAAAGGGTAGGAGGAAGGTGAGGGATAAAGGACTACAGCTGTGACAAATGTTTGTTGCTTAAGCAACCCAGTTTATGGTATTTTATTATATCAGACTGAAATGACTAAGACAATCAGGGAATACAGCTTGTCCTACAAACCTTTCTATTTTAAATCCTTTTTGTGGTTGTTGGTTTTTTTTTTTGTTTATTTTTTAGAGACAGGGCATGGCCTCACATTGTTGCTCAGGCTGGAGTTCAGTGGCACAATCATGGCTCACTGCAGCTTTGATCTCCTGGGTTCAAGCAATTCTGCCACTTCAGCCTCCTGAGTAGCTGGGACTACAGGCAAGCACCACTGTGCCCAGCTAAGTTTTTTATTTATTTGTGTAGATGTGGTTTTATGATGTTGTTCTGGCTGGTCTCAACCTCCTGGCCTCCAGTCATCCTCCTACCTTGGCCTCCCAAACTGTGGAATACAAGCATGAATCACCATGCCTGGACTATAAATCATTTTTGATAGAAACATTGAGTATCTATCACCTTGAAGAAGCAAAGGCAGGACAAAGCAAACTTAATAGAAGCATGAAAAAAATCTAAATTTTCATCTACTATTTCTTCCAACACTGTTTCTGTCCCATTATCTTTGCTCTCCTCCAAGGACTCGAAGTACAGACATTTTAACTGTATGTCATATGTATCGTATGCTCTTTCCATCCTTTTTTCTCTCTTTGTTTCGGTCTGGATAGTTCTTTTGACTATTTTTCAGTTCACTAATTTTCTTTATAACTGCATCTAATCTGCCATTAAAGCCATAAGTTAAATATTTAATTTTATTTATTTTAGTTTTAAATTTTCATTCAATTCTTGCTAAAATTTTTAGTCCTCTGGTTAAATATGTCAGCTTATAATTGAATGTCTTAAATATATTATCAGAGTAGTTTATAAATTTGTGTCTGTTATCTTTAATATCTGCATCTCATTGTGATATATTTAGGTTTTTTCCTTGGTTTTTAATCAGTCATTTTTACTTTTGTGTTTTACTGTTTATTATTGTGTCAACATTATATGTGGAAATATCTAGAAATCATTTGAAGATGCAATTATTTTTTTTCTTCGTCCACAATGAACTTTGCCTTTACCAGGAATAAGTCCAGAAGTATATTGCCTCAAACTAATCACAGATGGAAATGATTTTCAGGTGAGGTCAGGCTTTGTGAGATCTAGTCTCTGTTAATCTTTATGCTTATTTTCAAAGTATAAAGTTCTTCGGTGTTCCAACTGAAAGCCTAGTTTATTTACCAGAATACTTACTTGTTGCCCTAATTCCAATGTTTGGAATTTGCCAATAGTATGAGATGCCTAGAAGTTCTGTATAGCTTCTAAGCCTCTCAGTCACTCCTTCCAAACTGGCAAGTGCATTGAAGGAGAAAGGTAAGACTAATGTCTAACACACACCTCCCTGGTCTTTCTTTCTTTTCATATCATAGCCTTGCAAGCGCTCACTAGCAAGATAGCTCTGCCAGTCCCTTTTGTCAGATACTTTGTTCATAATTTTCCAACTCCTTTAGTCATTTTACAACTGCTTCGATGTTCTTCAGTTGTCCGAATAAGCTAACTTACCATTTCTGGAAGCAGAACTCTTTCAAATAGCTTATTGTTAAAAGATAATAAAGGAAAAAAATGTTTGGAACACAGAGTAGCAGAAAGTATTCTATGAGAAGGTTTAAGTATGTTAATTAGGGGACAAAAAGTTAGAAAAATCACCTACAAAAGAAAGAGAAGTTTAAATGATACAAATGATAAAAAGGCAAAGGTGAAATATTCAACATATGCATAACAGGAATTCAAAGAAAAGATGAATAGAAGAAATTAACAGTTCAACAATTAATCAAGGAAAGCTTTTTATCTCTGAAGAAAAACTTGGGTCTGCAAATCAAAAGATTAAAAATTTAGAGTTCTAGGCATAATTAATTTTAAAATATGTGTATTGAGATGTATTCTGATGAAGTATCTGAAGTTGGAGACTGGAAAAAAGAAAACAGAAAAACCTTCCATGAAAGCATTTTATTTTGGAAATAGTACAGAAAGAATGATTTTTTCATGAAGTTATTACTTATTGTTTTCTTACATAAAAGACATGAGATTTAGGTTCATTTGCATCTCTACAATAATAAAAGCCTATACTAAATTGACATCTAAGTACATCAAAAGTTTCCTTAGATTGATAACTACTGCTTGGTAACAATTTAGTGGTTGTGTTTGGGAAGAGCTATCATCACCTTTATTGTCAAGTTTATTATGAAAAACTTAGGGATAATGTCTTCATCTACCATAATCTATGATGATTTCATATTGTTCTGATTTTTCTTACCATGCTTCGTACTTTCACTCTGTTCGTGAATGCGCTTCACAGATCCAGGTTCTCATCAGAAATAGAATTTTTATGTTCATTTTGAAAGGCAAATGAGTAAGGTAAAGGAGGACAAGTAAAATAATAAAAATGAACAATTGAGGATATTTCTCTGAAAAAGTAACTTTGGTTGAAAATGGAAGGAAGCAACGTCATATGTTTCTAAATAAGCATTTAATAAAGCACAATTGCAGCACAAATTTGAATGGATTCAACTGATACTGCTGAGCTTTTGTTGGTTGAGAGTTAGCTAAAGTGGGAAAAAGAAGTAATGTTTTATAAGTGGTAACTTTAATTTAAGAATAAAAAAAGCAGCATACGCACCTCCACAGACTAGGTAAATATTACCCAGCCCTGTTGCTCTGTCTGATAGACTTGCCAAAGCCATGACAAAGTCCACGGTGGATGAATGAGCGTAGATTTTTAACATCATGACATGCCCCACTTTGTTTCACCCAGTATACTAATCTAACACTAATTGTTTTCTGGAGTACATAAAATACCAAATTTTTCATATATGCTTTGCATATTTTTTCTTTTTAAGTAACATCTCTTTCTCTTTCATACACATACAGTGTACCCAGATATATACAGATGGACACAAAAAACTAGAACTGGAATTCTGCTAATTTCCATACATGTGTATATGTATGTCATAGCTATGCACATGTTTAATCTCAACAAAGATTCAACAATACTTTTCCAAGTCTCTAGATAAAAGACATTCCAGTAAAACAAACTATTCTTTACTGTCTAAAATAAACATAGGCAAGTTACAATCCAAAAGTATATAACCCCTGTTCAAGAAATCTTGTTCTACGTGATTTTTGTTTAAAAGGTTAGGAGATAGCTGGGTGTTGTGGTGCCTGTAATCCCAGCTACTAGGGGACTGAAGCATAAGGAGCTCTCGAGCCCAGGAGTTCGAGACAGCAGTGAGTTATAATTATGTTTGTGAATAGCCACTGCACTCCCACCTGGGCAACAGAGTGAAAACCCATCTCAAAAAGTAAATTTTAAAAAGAATTAAAAGCACAGGAAATAATGCTAAAAATAAAGCCTAAATTTAAAAATGGTTGAAACAGCATTATGGGCATTTAAGAGCTGAATAATTAAGAGCAACAATGCTAGAATGAAAGTGCTTAGGCTTGAATTTCAGCTCTGCAATAAACATTCTCTCATATTCGACACTGATTAATAGAGAGAAAGGGCTTCAAATATGGTATAAAGTGTCAAAAATAGCCACTCGTACAATAAAAATAGAATGTAGACCTCCGAATTCACCAGAAGAGAAAAACAAGCCAACACACAGAGAGTCCAAATGGGCAAAACAGGAAAGAAAAAAAGAGAAACTGGGAAGTCTGAAGAATAGAAAGCATGTAACAAGTAAAGCAGAAGAAAGTCTTTTCCTCATCCTCATGCCACTACCCCTACTTTCCATTTCTGATTCCTAGAAAATGTCAAACTCCACAGTCAAAATACAATAATTGTGATTTCCAGTTTAAATTTCTTCAAAGTGAAACGGGAATTTTAAGCTAATTGTAAAGCAATGCAGGTAAAGAACCCTTCCAAATTTTAAGGATTATTTCCAGATTTATCATTGTTTTACCTACACCCCGATTCCTGAGCATTTTTCAATGATTTGCCATTACCAAATTTTCCCAAGTACTCATTTAGTTTAGTTTTGTTTTGTTTTGCTTTTTATATACTTTAAGTTCTAGGGTACATGTGCACAACGTGCAGGTTTGTTACATGTGTATACATGTGCCATGTTGGTGTGCTGCACCCATTAACTCGTCATTTACATTAGGTATATCTCCTAATGCTATCCCTCCCCCCTCCCCCCACCCCACAACAGGCCCCAGTGTGTGATGTTCCCCACCCTGTGTCCAAGTGTTCTCATTGTTCAGTTCCCACCTATGAGTGAGAACATGTGGTGTTTGGTTTTTTGTCCTTGCGATAGTTTGCTGAGAATGATGGTTTCCAGCTTCATCCATGTCCCTACAAAGGACATGAACTCATCCTTTTTACACAAGAATAACTATGGAAACTTTAATTAGAATATATAAAGTTAATTTGAAACTATGTATACATTTTTATATTTCAAATAAAAATAAAAGGTTTGAAGTGTTAAAAAAAAAAAAAGAAAATGTGAAACTCTTTCCTGATTTCTGTTGCATATCTAAGCAAGGAGAATAAAAGTAGGCATTTGGTACTGCAGCTAAACCTAGAGAAATAGACAAAGGTGCTCCTAGCATAATAATGCACAGAACACGTGCACTGTGCTATATCTCTGTGGTATGTCTGATTGCTTTACAGCTTCCTCTCCCACAGAATCCAAAATACAACCACCCCCACACAATCCCAGCCTTATCTAAAATAGAAACAGCTGGAAGTAAATAATAATTCCTCTGAAGCTGAGGAGAAAACCATAATCAATGGTCACCGCAGGTGAGAAAGAAAAAGCAGAGAAAGTCATAAGGAGGAGCTTTGAATTTCCTAGTGACTAGGAGAGGGGAAGCTTCACAAGGCAGCTCTGGAGCTGAGCCAGAAGAGCTGGAGGAACGAGAAGAGTAGGAAGAGAAGCCACTCCTAAATCCTTAACCCCACTGGACTCTGTATGTGATGGAATGTCAGACTCCAGGCTGAAGTTCTGCTATATGCAGTCCACTGAACCTTGTACTTGTTCAGTTAAGTGTAAGGGCATTTAGTATTGAAAAGTTCCACCCCTCCTAGCTACTAGTAATAAGAGTCTCAAAATTAGACGCAGGTAAGATTTCACAGATAAATAAGGCTGTACCTTTGTGACGAAAATCTTTAATTTACTTAAGGGCCTTTGAACAGAGTGTGCCTCCTTAGTGACTACACACCCCTGTATTAAGACATAGTACATTCCTCAATCACTTATCCAAATGTTCAACAATTGGCCATTCAGCTCCACTGAATAGGAGTCTTCCAGTAGTCAGGGAAACCAGTTTAGAGAGCCCAGCCCTCTGGGGTGTTAAAGGCTCTGATATCCATCTTGAGACTCTCCTTTGGGTCATTTTGACCCGTCCTCAATTTCTGATACTTCTTTTCTGTATTAGTGACAAATCCTTACCCACTGGAAGGCAAAGCTAAACATAACACCAATGCCTTGATGTTTTTATTTTTCTCCACTTTCACTGCCCTCCACAGTATCAGGGCAACCAGTGGAAATTATTTCCTTAAGTGTGATGTTGTCATAGCCCTAATAGTAAGCTTCTCCACAGAAAATGTTTTGAACTCATATATCCTAGACACAGCTGTAGTTTGATTTAGAGTTGTCAAATAAAATGTATTTGGATCTATGTGATTTCATTTTTTAAATATCTTTATTATGACTAATGCAATCTGGCATTCTGAATTGGATCCTGAGACAGAAAAGAAGAAAAAATGTGAAATCTGGATGAAGTTTAGAATTCAGTTGAAGTGAAGTATCATTAGTTTTTTGACAAATGTACCATGGCAGTATAAGTTGTTAACTTTAGAGGAAACAGGATCTCTCTGTATTGTGTTTGTATTGAATTTTTCCATAAATCTAAAATTCTTCTACATTAAAAGTTTATTTTTTAAAAATCCCTTAACTCATCAGGTACAAGAAACAGGCATTTAGAAGCCTTTTGTAGCAGTTGGAGAAAACAGGTAAAACAAGTCACTGTCTTGCACACAACAAAAGTCTTTAGAGAAGAGACAGCAGCTAGCCTTTCTTCAGGCAGGTTCTTCATAGAAAGATCAAGATTTAACCTCCATTTAAATCTCATGTAGACATTTTCTTGTATTCTCTGTTTTAATTTTTTTTTAAAAGTCAACTTTCTTCTAGTAATGGAGAAGTATTTTAATTTCAAAAATTCTTTAGGGGCAAAATAAATACAATAATCCAGAGGGATGGAACCTAGTCATCAGACTGCTCATGAATGAGATTTCTCATTGCCATTTCACACCCACTAACAAAACTCTCAGGCATAGCTAATATAATAAAAAGACCAAATCGACTTGTTATGCAATATGCGTAAATGGGTTATATTGCCTCTGAGAACTAAAAACAAAATCCTAAGCCCCCCAACCAACCATACAGACTCCCTCTTGGCCGATGGGTGCCCAAAGAAACCTTAAAAGCTGTGTTCCCAGCCATGACTTAACAGGGAGTCAGACATGCCTCATTATACCCAAACACAACTGACAAGCATTAACATTAAAACAGAAATAATAAGACGGATGATGGAACAGACTCCTTGTGGCAATAAGATACCAAATTATAAATGAGACCTAAGCCCATGCTAGGCGAGGGTTAAGTCACACCCCCATCCCCCACACTTAATAAACTGTGTGCTAACTGCCGCAAGTTTTCTCTTTTTCTCTAGCAGCTAAACAAACACTAGCCTCAAGATAAGCAATATATTACCAATCACAGCTTATTCACCACCAGACACTGACTGACCTCCTTGCCTGTTCCACAAGGCATAACTACAGCTTTGATTGGACAAGACTGATTTCAGTAACTTTCTTCTGATAAGAGACCATCAACCATGGACTGGTTCTGGCCAGTTTACAGAAGCTGCACACTGAGTGCCTTCATGTCCCTGCTTCACCTTTTGATGTGTAAGGCCTAATTGTAATATATTTAAATGTTAAGTCTCCACCCCAAAGTGAACATGAGACATATGTAACATACATATTTCGTTACTATCCTGTGTGCATTCCCCTGTTTATGAATATTCATAGCTATTCCCATAGCCTGTTTAATATATATACTTAGCCAACCCCTTCAGCATAAATTCCTGTCTCACCTTTCCTCCCTTGAAGTACTTGTTTTCAGTCCCTGCCAGAGGCCCACTTCCCAGCCTGCAGGTTATAATCCTTTTTAAGAAATAAATCTAACCTTTTCTAAATTTGTAGGCCTCATGATTTTATGTTGAAACCTCTTTAAAGCACAAAGATGCTAAATTTGAGTCCAAAATAATAACCAACTAAATACATTTCATAAGAAAAAAAAACACTGAGGGACTTTTGGCTGAAAATGGCATAATGAGTTCACACTTTGAAAACTGTCTCTGTTCCAGAGATGTACAAATGACAGGAAAATAATATTAAAAGAAGAAAATTAAACAACTTAACAGTTAAACATTATGATGGTCTAGAAATGGACAGAAAAGCACAATGATCAATGGAGACTGAATGTACAGAATGGCTAGGCTTTGCAGCAGAAGTTGACAGTGGGAACAAAGGAAACTAGAAGACCACCATCCTCCATGTAAAACCAGTGCCAGGCTCATGTTTTTTTTGGAAGCCAAAGTCTGGGTTTGGCTGAAAATCCTGAAAGAAAGCTTGAAAATGATAAATAATAATATTATTAAAATAAGGAAAAAAAATCTTACAGAGTGCTACCCGGGATTATAGTTCTATTTAGGGAGGCAGAAGACTTAGAACAGCACTTGATCAGGACATAAGGCCAAAAACCTTTCTCTCTCCCACCACCTTTTCTCTGTCTACAGCATTCCAAACATCATCATGGAAAATCAGCATTAAAAAATGGCAAGACCTGGTTTTGGATTAGGAATCAAGAGGCAGAGTGGAGGCAGCAGCAATACCATTCCGCAGAGATGGGTAAAGAAAGCAAAGAAAAGAAAAATCTCCCACTGAAAATTAATGTCATGTTCCCCCCCAAAATAATCCATGATATATCTGTGGTAGGCAGAATTCTAAAATGACTCAAGATTTCTGCTTCCTGGTTGATATATCCTATGTAATTCTCTCCTTTTGAGTGTAGGCAGAGCCTGTGAATATGATTAACGGCACTTTGGTGATTAAGTTACATTATATGGCAAAGGTGCAAACACTTTGCAAATATAATTAAGTTCAATCAATTGACTTGAGATCATGAAAAGAGAGAGAATCCTTGATGGGCCTGACTTCATCAGGTGAGTTCTTTAAAAGAAGTCAAAGATCCTAAGTCCTGTTGGCCTTGAAGACACAGGCCAACATTAGTTTTACAGCTGCAAGGACATAAATTCTGCTAACAATGACTTGAGCTTGGAAGAGAACTCCAAGTCTCAGAGGAGGCTTCGGCCCTGTTGGACACCTTAATTGCAGCTTGTTAGATTCTGAGCTAGATGTTTCTGGATTTCTAAAACATGAAAAGTGTAGGATAATAAATATGTGTTATTTTAAGCCATTTCATTTGTGGTGACTTTTAGACAGCAATAAAAAAAGAACAATAGAAATACCAGTACTAGGAAAGGCAACCAACAATATTAATAACTGGTATAGGAATTCACTCCAGGTGAAATTCATCCCATAAAATAGTTTGACAAAGGCATTTTAAAATATATTGCAAATATTCAGTGGGATCAGTGAAGGCATCACTTAAATTAAAAGCAGAAGAAAACAGAAAACTGAGTAGTAAACAAAAACAAAATAAGAACATGTAAATTTCAAGATATTGTAAATATAAAATATAGCAATTGGAGTAAAAAATGCAATGAGGAATAAAGTAGTTTACATAGTCAAAATGATAAGTAGGCTGACAATACTAAGAAACTCACTAGAATGCAGAGCAGAATCAAAGGTTTATAAAAACATGAAAGAAACTAGATAAAAATTTATTTGTGAATTGATAATAGGAGGTTATACTCAAAAACTTTAAACAATATTAAAAATATGGTAATGAATATTTAACAGATAAAGCATAACAAGGCCTTTTTATAGTTAGGGGGGATATAAAATAATGAACTGTAGAAGGCATTCAAAATAATATAAATATTAATCTTAAATCATAGAAATAATGTATTTCTTGTACTATGGCAGAATATATAACCAGAAAAGAGCTGGGTACAGTGGTTTATGCCTGTAATCCCAGCTACTTGGGAGGCTGAAGTGGGAGGATCCCTTGAGGCCAGAAGTTCAAGATCAGGCTGGGCAACATAGCGAGACCCCTTATCTCAAAATATAAATATGAATATGTTTAATTATATATAAAATATATATTTATACATTATTAAATCAATACATAAATATATAATCATAAAAGTTTAAATATGTTAAATCAATTTATAAATATATATAATCATAAAAGTTTCCAAATACAAAATACCTGGAAATGCTGGATAAAATTTAAAGTATGGACTCAACAGTGGCTGACACAAAAAGAGGATGAAGATAGATGCCAGACATTGGCATTCTACAGTAGAAAGAGTGACTATGAAGGCTTAGGGAGATAATGTTGAAATGAAACTACTACGGGCAATCTGCTTAGCCAAATCTAGCCATTCCTGTTGGTACCAGGAGAACATCTCCTTCACCAAGATATTAGGAAATGCACTGGGGTGGAGAAGACCAGCATTCTAATTTTTTTTTTTTTTTTTTGAGATGGAGTCTCACTCTGTCGCCCAGGCTGGAGTGCAGTGGCGTGATCTCAACTAACTGCAACCTCTGCCTCCTGGGTTCAAGCGACAGCCTCCCAAGAGGCTGGGATTACAGCCACATGCCACCGCACCCAGCTAATTTTTGTATTTTTATTAGAGACAGGGTTTCACCATGTTGTCCAGGCTGGTCTCCAACTCCTAACCTCAAGTGATCCACCTGCCTCGGCCTCCCAAAGTCCTGGGATTACAGGCATGAGCCACTGCACCCAGCCTACAACATTCTTAAAAAGCTCGATGGCGCTATTCTTTTTAGGCTAGAGATGATGGTTGCAGATGCCTTCATAAAATTAGGCTCCCTGGTTTCATTTCCAGATGGATATAAACCAGGTGGCAGTCTTTAATCATCAGAGACAAGCTGTGTGCAATTACCGTAATAAGCCAATGGGGCGGAGCAGTAATCAAAGTATTTTAACCTAAAGGGATCTCTGGTGGTAGCTAATTGAGTATGAAGATCCCTAGGAATAAAATAAACGGGCAGCTATGAAAATACTGTTTGACATGTATCTGTGAAAAAATTCTAAGTGGCAAAAACTTGACGTGAGTCACTGGAATGGGAATACAAGACCATTTAGCCAGTTCTAGCTCTCAGATCCCCTAATCCCTTAGTTGGAGAACTTGAGGAAGACCCTGAACATGGCCACAGATGTTTACTAAAACTCTTCCTCCAAGCCTTCTCCAGAGGAACACATGGCTGTGTACCAGGGTAACTGTACACTGAGAAAAGGGAAGTAAACATTCAGATGTTGAAAAATACTACTCTGAACTGATGTTGACCCACAAAGACAAGAAAGTCTACCCTTGTCAAACAAGAGTCTTGTGGAGGTCAGTTGATAGTTGGAGTCTTGGTTTTAGTCCATCTCACAGTAGATCCACTGCAACTGTATACCCATTCTGTGGTTATTTCCTTCTGCACATTGGTTCTGTAATCAATGGTGTCAGAGCTATTACTGTAAGAAGCCAGATTCATTGCTCTCTACCGGTTTCCCCATCCCCTAGCCTCACCTCATTTAAAGCAATACTACATCCATCCCTGGATGTTGCAGAGAATAATACCATCATCAAAGACATGAAAGGTGCAGAGGGGCAGAGGTGAAGATTTCTATTATATCCTCCTTTTACTCCCCTATTTAGCTGATACAAAAGGCAGATGTATGTTCAGGGATGCCTATGCATTATCATAAACTTAATCAGGTTGTGACAGCAATTGCAGCTGCTATTTCAAATGTGGTATCACCATTGGAGCAAATCATCACCACCCTTGGCACCTTTTATGCAGTCATTGACCCAGCAAACATCTTCTTTTCTATAACAAGTAATCGAGAAAATTAGAAATGATTCGCTGTCACTCTTTTAACTCAGAGCTATGTCAGCTCTCCAGATCTCAGTCTTAATATATCCTAGAGGGACTTTGATTGCCTTGATATTCCACAAGCATCATACTGGTTCATTACATTGATGGTAATATGCTAATTGGACCTGGTGATCAGGAAGTAGCAAAAAATAGATGCTTTTGAAAGATATATGCATGCCAGAGGGAGGTGAGATAAATTCCACGAAAGTCAGAGACTTGCACATAGAAGAAGTTTTTAAAGGAGTGATGGTCTGTGGCAGGTCAAGATAGCCTCTCTAAGATGAGAGAAAGTTTGGCTGCACTTGGCAATCCTGCTATGAAGAAAGAGGCTCAGTGCTTGGTAGATCTTTTTAAATTTTAGAGAGAATATATATGATATTTGGGTACACTGCCCCCACCCATGTACAAGGTAATATGTAAAGCACCCAGCTTTAAATGAGTTCCCAGGTGAGAAAAGGCTCAACATTGAGCACAAAGCTGTGGGGTGAGTGGCCTTGTCATTTAGGCTTTATGAGCAGGCAGACTGGATGATACTTGAAGTGTATTTGGTGGAGAGAAGGATTAATAGAAAAATCACAACACAGACTCAGGATTTGGGGAAAAGGACGTGCTGTTTTCTTCCCGCAACTATCCTTCATTTGAAACCAGATCTCAGCTTGGAACTGGGTCTGACAGAGGCACAAGACATCATGATGGGAATCCATGGTTGCTTAGTCACAAGGTATCTAGCCCTTACACCATGAATTACAGAACCAAGGCTTCCATCATGAACTGGGCCCTATTTAATGTGCCAAATTACAAAGTTGGATATGTGTAGCAGCATTGCACATTTCAACTGAAATGGTACACTCAGGACCAGGCTGAAGATGGTCTAGATAGTCAAAGTAAATCACATAAGCTAGTGAATCAGACTCCATGGGACATACCCTGATTGCCTTGACGCCTTTACCTCATCAATATCTAAAGTTCCTTATAGCAGGTTGATAGAGGAGGGAAAAGCACAGGCCTTGCTTAAGGATAACTACAAGGTGTTCTGTCACCATCCAAGAATATAACACTGTTTTTATCATAGTCCTGCTTAGAGGTTTTGAGGAAAGAGAGTAGTGGAAGGAAATCCACTGAACAGAACTTCAAGCATAATCTATGGAAAGCATAAAAGGAAAATCAGAAAGGTATAAATCTAAACTAATTATCGGTTAATGGCTAATGGGTTGGACAGCTGGTTGGTGACCTTTAAGAATGTGAAGTTTGGTGGCAACAAGATCTGATGGAGAGATACATGGATGGATGTCATGGCCATGAAAATTCATTGCTCAGCTTTACTGCTGTGGGAAGTGTAAACGACTGACAGCTCAAGCCCTTGCCCTTCTGGCTCCACCACCACATCCTGCCCAGGCCACGCTTCCAATGGGCTGCATTTAGCCAATGACTTTACACAGAGGGCCCACTGATGCGGGCCCATTCCTGAAGACACAGGACTTTTTAAATGGAGCACTTTGTCTCAAGGACTTTTCATCAGACTGGACAAAACTTTTCAGAAATTGTGTTGCAGTCTGAAACTCTTTATATACATTGGCCCTTCCTTGTCACTCCATTTCAGAGATGTCAGAACTGCATTGAAGGCTTTTTCCATCTTCTCTGGTTCTCTCCCTTATTTTCAGAGCTATTTTCCCCAATAAATCCCTTGCTATTGTGGTAGGCTCAGATATGGCCTCCAAAGATATCAGGTCATAATTCCTAGAACTTTCTAATGCATCTTATTTGGGAAAAGGATCTCTGCATATGTGATTAGTTGAGAATCCTGAGATGAGGAGATTATCCTGGATTATCTGGCTGGGCCCTAAAGGGCAGTTAGCACAACTGCCCTTATAAGAGAGAGGCAGAGGGAAGTTTGACATAAATATAAACAGAGGAGAAGGCAGTGTGATGTCCACAAAAAACTCAAACTCTGTAATATATTTGAAGAGATATTCTAAGCCAAATATGAGTAACAAATGCCCTGTGACACACCCCTCAGGAAATCTTGGGAACATGTGCCCAACATGTTCAAGCAACAACTTGGTTTTATACATTTTAAGGAGACATAAGATGTCAATATATACATGTAAGAAGTACACTGATTTGGTCCAGAAAGGTGGGACAACTGGAAGAGAGAGTGGGTGGTTTCCAGGTCATAGGTGGATTCAAATATTTTCTGACTGGCCATTGTTGAGCTATTATCTAAAGACCTGGAATCAAAAGAAAGAAATGTAGGGGTTACCATGAGGGGTTGTGAAGACCAAGATTGTTATCATAGAGATGAAGCCTCCAGATAACAAGCTTCAGAGCGAATAGATTGTAAATGTTTCTTATTCAGATTTAAAGAATCTGTTCTATCAGTCTTAAGGTCTCTGTTTTAATGTTAATACTGGTTACTTGGCCCTGAATTCCAAAAGGGACGAGGGTATAATGAGGGCTGTTCAGCTGCCCTTTCCCATCGTGGCCTAAGCTAGTTTTTCAGGTTAGCTTTGGAATGCTCTTGGCCAAGAGGAGGGATCCATTTGGATGGTTGCAGGGCTTAGAATTCTATTTTTGGTTTACAGTGATGAATAGCAGAGACAGAGAGAGAGAAAGAGAGAGAGAGAGGGATTTTAAGACTCTGGTGATACAAAGGAACACGAGCAGCCAGCAGAAGCTGGAAAAGGCAAGGAAAATATTATCCCCTAGAGCTTTTGGAGGGAGTGCTGCTTTCCTGACACCTTTATCTTGACGAGTGAAACTAATTTCAGGCAGAAACTGATTTTAGTTCTGGCCTCCAGAACTGAAATAATTGTGCTGTTTAAAACTACTAAATTTGTGGTCATTAGTTAGAGCAGCCAAATGAAACTAATACACTGTCTAATTCTTTCTTGGTGCCTGCCTCTTGAACATCTCAACAAGCATAAATGGTACCTGCCACTTGTGGTCCAAGAAAAGCAGTTTGATGGGGTGTGGGAACTAGCTCACTCACTGCCTCATTAAAAGGGTGCCATCCTGCACAGCCTCATTAAAAGGGTGCCATCCTGCGTGGTATATGAGGCAGGGTAGCCTTGGCATCAGGACACTGAATTGCTAAAGGTCGCCAACGGTGCCTTGGGAAGGCCTTTAGAAGACAAAGGGCAGCAGTGTCTGTAAAGACGACAGAGGTTGGAGGTTCCTGCTACAAAGGAATAAACTACAAAAGAATAACAAGAAACTGAGGGCTGTCGTGCAGTTAAAGGCTAAGTGTGAAAGCCATTAGCCTGTTTGATAGCCTACAAAATGGAAGACAAGACATTAGTGAGCAGCAGATTGAAGATCTGGAAAGTTAAGTCACAGAGATCTACAGATGATTCAATACTCAGTTGAGGAAGGTGTGTTGCCCTAAGATCAGGGCCCTGGGTAGAAAACCATGAAACAAAAACATGAATCCTTTTGCTGGAGATGCCACAGAGGCTCCACCCCTGCAAAGAAACAGGTATTTCTCTTGGGAGATGTCCTTACTTTCTTTTCTGGATGGCAGCTTTAAAACTAGAATAAATCTGAGCATAACCTGCACGGGCACATGTTAAGCCTGATAAGGGAGGAAGTACGCTATACACCAAAGAAGCTACAAGAAATATCTATCTTTTACCAGTGAGAGACAGGAGAGTACCTCTGGTATTGCATTTATGGGGCACTTTGGTCAAGAAGGCTGGCATATACAACTGCATAAACAAAGATGTATTGACTTGGATCACTTCCTCCAGGCACAATATTTAACCACCTGGCAGGAACCTCATGGAGTGGCTACATTTGTTGCCAGAGTGGCTCTTGGAAATCTGAGGAAAGTGACAGCCCATGCTGAGTGAGGTGGAAATGTCAGAGTCACCTGACAGGTGGTAGAGGAAAGAAAAAAAGAGGCTGAGAGAAGTGGGCATGCTAGACAAGGCGTGAAAGATCAGAATACTGACCAGAGAATTATGTTTCACTGGGAGAATGGAACACCAAGTAACACACCGTCCATCAGGAATGCGCTGATACATCACTAAGAAGCTCTGTGGTGGCTGCCTTTGCAGGCCGGGGCTGGTTATGGGAGATGTGGTCATAGAGCTGGTTCGTTCATGTCTGTGGGGAAGAGAGGACCCTGTAATAAAAGATAGTAGTTCAGGTAGTGGTACTAAGCCACCAGAAACACCTTAACTACAGGCAAGGCCAGAGGGTAATCTAGAGGCTTTGACTTTCAGGGAGTTGTTAAGAGAGCTTTGTACCTTGAGGAGAAAAACAGACATGCAACTAACAATGGTGCTGCGTAATGTCTACAACCAGATAAAAAGCAATGGAAGAGCTGGAAACTGAGAGTGGCCAGCACGACAAAAAGTTATACTCCCACTCAGTTCCCGAATCTGAGCCACTTTTTAGATTCAGAACACATTGACTCAAGAAGTGCTCTAGATTATTCAGTCCTACTTTAAAGACACTGAGGTACAGGCAAGATAAATAGCTGTCCCAAGATTACACAGCTAGTGTGTTAAGGAACAAAAGAAAATAAATTTGTAATACAATTACAATAAATAAATAAATTTGTACAATAAAAGTTAATATGTAAAGGAATGAAGAAGATTAATAATCACAAAAATGTACAAAAGAGTACAAGTGATTAATAAGTATATGAAAACATTATTAAAGGAAGGAATGCAAATTAAAATAATGTGCTATCATGTTAAACTTGATTAATAAATATTTAATAATATGCTAAGCTAAAATTCAGGAGTATATAAACTGGTATATCATTTCTGGAGGTCATTTTCACTGTATTTATAAAAACATAAATTTGGGAGGCTGTTTGACCTATAAATTACACACTTAGGAATTTATTCTACATGAATCATCAGACATGTGTGAAACAGTTTATGTACAAGGACAATAACAGCATAAAATATAGCAATGGAAAAATTTTAAAGTAGCCTTTAATGTATAAAAAAGATTATGGAAAAATTAATGTTTAAAAAAGATTAAGGAAAAATATTATGATATATATAAACATACAATAGAATAATACAAAGCCATTAAATAATATTAAGTAATATTTAAGAACATGAAAATTTTCACAAAACATTGTTAGGTATGAAATGGTGAATTAAAAATAATTTTTATATTGGTGTACAAAAATAAGTGAAAATGAAATAAGGATTCATAGAACTGGGGGTGAATGAAGTCAGTTATGGCAATACCGTCATTAACCCAGGAAAGCTAATACTTTAAAGTAAAAACAAAAGAAGTAGAATGTTGAGAGCAATTTTGCTCCCCCAAAAAATGTGTGTGTGTGTGTATAATCATAAACTTTACACCAAAATGGTACTGTTGCTTATCTTTCTATCTTGTAATTATGCATAAAGAACTACTCTTTTTTTTCATTATTTTATCAATGAACATGTAGGAACAAACAAGAAATGGTATTATAAAAAAATTGTTCAAAGAATAATGTTTGATTTAAGTCCCCCATTCCAAAATGCTTCACAAAATCTGCCTGTATGTACCTGACAGTTCCTAGGTGGGCATTCATTAACATTCACACAAATCCTTTAAGCTCACCATTAACTTAGGATGTAATTTAATTTTTTGTTAAGATCTGAAACAATCCCATTGCACAACTATGGGAATGAGTGTACAAGAGTAAAATTGAATAATGGAATCAATAAAACTTATAATAGAATGTATGTGACATATTTAGCTATATACACAATTATTATTTTGCTGCTCAATAAATAAATCTAAATTAAAATTAGGTCACAAAAGTAATTGGTATTTTTTGCATAGCCAAATTAAACCTTGATTTTCCTCTCCTTGTTTTATATTCATCAGCACAGATTTCAAGTTTTCCCCAGTAGTGTTTACTATTTGGTTCTCTTCACCCTCATCATCGGTATAGTCACCCTCACACTGACACTGACACATTAGAAAAACCAGGGCCCATAGTTCCTGTAGCACTGACTCCCACCCCATGCCCTACAGTTGATATAATTTATGTTCATAGCCCATCAGTGCAGGCCCAAGACCACAACCTAAGAAGTCTTTGAGCATCTATCTGGTACCTGTACCACTAAAATGACATGTCTAGGAGCTCTGGACAACAGAGGACTTTAAGGCCCTAGGAACTTTGGAGAATGAGGCCATAGCTTACCTGCCCCAGGGCAGTTCAATAAGTACAGGCAAGTGGGGGGTTGGGTGTGGGAGAAGGTAGAATGAGCAATGGTTCTGCATTTCTAGCACTTGAGAATCCAAGGACGGGGAGATCAGAAAGAGAGACCTACACTAAGGAACACGAAAGACAGCAGTTAGCTCAGGGAACTTACTTTTAATCCAGACTTCTTGGCATTCTAAAAGACTATAATGGTGTTACTCTCCTGGTCAGTCTTAAACCCCAGTTTAACTCAGGGATGAAGCAGAAGCTTGCCAAAAATATTTCTAGCCATTCATGTCTAAAGTTATTTTAGTAAACACAAAGAAAGCTTTTATCCTCCAATGAAAGAAACACAATAACATACTAATACCAGGGAGAGTTTAACCACAGAATAAATAGAAATTGTATATAGATTAATAGAATTCTAGGGTTGGACCTTAGAGATCAATTATAGCAACATTTTCTGATAAACCCATTGAAACCAAGAGAAGCAATCTTATAAAGAGTATAAATATATTGCACAATAATTTACTAAATCCCAAAACACTGAAACCAGAAGTAAGCTGGAAATTTTAAAGAGGTTGCTTTAGGACAAAATAACACATGCAAATATTGTGTACTGATGGGTTAATTAATTGAACCCGTAACCCTGCAAATGTTCTTGAAAAACAAGGCTATAGATAATTATAAAATGACAGACCTCCAGTGGACTATTGGAGAAATTTAGAGAGATCTGAAATTAATATTATGACATAGTCTTAAAGACTTCTGTTCTGAATAGGGGTCAGAAGATGTGGGCTCGCTTCCTGTTTCACTAACCCAAAGTATGGTGCTGGACAAGATAATGGACTTTTTCTGAGCTCCTCCAGTTCCTCATATGTAAGAGAAAGAGCTGAATACATGATCTCTAAAGCCCCAAATTCTACACAATACTGTAGAAGTCACACAGTCTGCAAATTTCTTGAGGGCTACATCCACAGATATTAGACTGTCTACACCTTTGCTCTTATCCACTAAGCATCTCTTATGACTTTCACGTGACCAAAAAACTTCAGATCATTTTTAATACTTTTACTTTTTCTCAAAATTGCCTTGGATCTCATATTGTAGACCCTAAAATAATGTATAATGTAAATTTCTCATACTAACTTAATACATGCTATGGAGTCATAAAATGCTAATAAAAATGATGAAAAGTGTCCCACAAGGAAGATACAACAAAAATACAGTAACCACTTACCCCCTAAATGATGAGATTATAAATTACAGAGATGGCCTGGTTCAGAGTAAAGATTAAAAGCAAAATTTTTTAAAATTCCCTCTCCAATTACAACTGATAAGACAAACTTCTAATAAACACTGACTGTGAGCAAGATTCTGTTTAGTTTACCTAGTCGATTCAAGTCTTCTTCTTCTTCATAAATCACAACTTCTGCTTAACATATAGAATCATACCAGGACTTAGAAGAACGCTTTTATTTACTCCCTTGAACCCCCATGACAAAAGGCTTTGAAAATGGATTTTTGACACTTAACGTTGCCAGATGTTCCACCTTGCTTTCTTTATTCTATTTCTAGTAGTCAAGGAGACTACCCATAAAGCAGCTGGTACAGCACTTATTCACCTAACATTTCTGTTCCAGAAATGATCATGCACAGAATTTAGCCTCTGGCACACAGGTTTAGTTTAGGCCTGAAAGAAAAGAAATTTTTTTCTAAGACTATTGGAAAGAAAAAAGTCTAATTTCATACCATTTCTTCAAAGACTGAGTATTATTCATTAAAATACTCAACCATCTGGAAAAAATAATAATTGCAGTGCTGGAGGCCTTTTTTTAAAAATAACAAATCATTCCAAGTTTAAAGAAAGACAATGAATAGGATTCTCGCTTTCTTGTTAATTTATCCAGCAATATTAGAGTTTCAAGCACATTCGTTTCTATCAAGCATCTGACCTCCCCAAAGCCTGCTGCATTCCCAGACATATATCAAGAAATAGCTCAGATTTTTCAGCTTTCCTCATTTACAGTTTCAGGGCAAGATCTGCCATCGATTTTTGCATATGACTCTGATTGATTCCAGTGGGAGTCCTGCACACAATTGGGCAGTACAAAATGATCCCTAGCCTAGCAGTCTGTGCTCCTCCCATAGAGATATGTTATAGTTTCCAATTCTAAACATTTCTGTTTCCTAAATCCTCTCCTCAGATCTTCAGAATTTTCTCCCTATCTCCTTTAATATATGAAAGCATAAATTCTAAAACTTGGGTAAACCATTTTTATGTATAATCTTAACTTAATATTTCTTTAACACACAGTCATTATGGCCTCAGGTGTCTGGAAGTTTCAAACGCTATTATAAGCTCTGAATTTCCAAAGGAAAAATTATAAGTTATAATAATCTTAGGAATAATGCACAGCATATAGTGAGATTGTTAATGAGAGCAAGTAGTTGTATACTTCTACTCTGTTGCCAACAGAGATAAATATGATTTGTTCTTTTCACAGTTAGGAATTGTGTCATTTAGGAGCCCTTCTGCTTCAAGTAACAAAATATGTGAGTGAAAGTGGCTTAAACATTAATAACACTTTAGTGTCTCACTTACCAAGACTCCTTGGAGAAGAAGTTTCAGAGTTGGTTACTTTAGCTGTTCAGGAGGCTGAGGCAGAAGGATTGCTTGAGCCCAAGAGTTTGAGATCAGGCAGAGAAAAAAAGCAAAGTTTCATCTCAAAAGAAAAAAATAAGTCAGAGCTCTAGGTTGGCTTCCCTGCTACTTTGTTGGTTCCCCCTCGTGGTCACAAAATAGCTGCAGCACCTCCAAGCTCTTGCCACCATGTCACATCTCCCAAGGGGTGAAGGAGGAGTGTAGGCTTTCACTTCATTGTTTATTGCCTAGAGCTAGGGAGTGTGAGTTTAACTCCACCTTTCCTGCTCACATTTCAGTCATACACCTGAACAAAATCAGAATTCAGAGTTTCGTTTGCAATGAAGTGGGAGGAATTGTTTAGAGCCATGAGTCAATAGGGTCTACAGCTGAAATTCCTTGCCTGACAACAACAGAAGCCACATTTATTAGTTATTTTGCATGACTACTTTTGGGTTAGTCACATGTGTAAAGAAAGTTCTTGACAAACATACAGAATATGTGTGTGTGGGAGAATGGTGCCCAGGAACCCAAAATACTTTTTCTCCAATCAAGGACCCCATTTCAAATAAGCTACCCCATCGTCAGAGATGTCAAAGTGACTTGTGGAATACCTCAAGAATACCTAATTATCTTCACTTTATCATTAATCCTAACATGAGTAGATATTTATTTAATTATGTGTCCATTCACATGAATGCTAATGGTACAAATCTTGAAAAATATCTATGCTTTTATTTTCCTATATACTCTACTTAAGAACAAACTCTAAGACCTTGAGCTATAATGCAGGCAGGAATGAAAGCAAAGAATGAAAGGGAAAAAGGCTAGCACATAGAGTGCCAAACAAGGAAGGGAGTGTGCTATACCCAAAAATGATCAGAAGCCAGAGATCAAATAAAAATAATAGTTTCAATGTGGGGCTGGTATTAAAAACAGAAAAATACCCAAAAGCCAGAGGCCAAGACATGGCCACGGATGAAAGTAAGCACCTAAGAGCAAGCAAAAAATGCAGAATCTCTGTGTTAAGACAAGACAGAGTTAAGAGTGAGAAACCACAAATGAAAGATTAAAAAATGTGACAACCACGCAATAGAAAATCTACAGATGAGTCAACAGCCCTTCCAACAGGAAAGAAAATAGCTGCAAGAAACATGTGCACCAGCTTACCCAAATTGTGTAAATAAAACCATATCTGGCACAAGTGGGAACATTGAATTGTATGTTACACTTAAAATAAGTGAATTATATGGTATGTAAATTATACCTCAATAAAATTATCCCATTCCTCCCTCTCACAAACAAGTAATGCAGTTTCTTCATTGGTGCTCTCCCTCTGTCTTGGGTACCTGCCTTTGGATACAGCCATTATGTGAGAAAGCCCAGGACTGATGCTGAGGCTATGTATAGATGTTCCAACCAAAGCTTCTGCTAGACACCTAGCTGACAGGCAGCATCAACTGCCAGACACTTGGGTGAGCAAGCCTCTAGATGATTCCAGCCCCAGCTGAGGATTCAGTCATCATGGAGTAGAAGCAAGGCATCCCTGCATGCCCTGTCTGAATTCCTGACCCATAGAAGCCATGAGAGAAAATAAGTAATTATGGCTTTAAGCCACAAAGTTTTGGAGTAATTTGCTATACCAATAAATAGCTAATACTGACACTAATGAAATCACCATACAAATGATTGCAAAATGACAACTGTGACAAGTCATGAAAGGAAAAAGCATCTGGAACAGTGAGAGTATATAATTGGGAAATAAATTTATTTCCCACAATAAATCCACAAAAATTCACGGAGTCAGTAAAGGCTTATAGTTCCAATATACTGAATGAATGGGTACTAAGTACAGTCAACGAGTAATTGTAAAATGATTTTGTCGGAGAGATGGGAAGGTAGGCATGAGCATAGGTTTGTTAGACAAGCCTCCCAGGTTGGTGACTCTATCACAACCAGCTATGTGACCTTGGAAAGGTAACCTCTCTGAGCCTCAGTTCCTTCTCTGTAAGACAGATGTTTGGGAGGATTGAATGAGATGGTGCATGAGCTTAGTATACAGCTTGATTGAATATTAATTCAATGGTTGTTATTATTATTATGAAGTGCTTGGGTTTCCCCCAATGGCATGGCCCCAAACAATCTCTTCCAGAAAGGTTACTATTTAGCTATGGGTTTTAGAGACATGGAAATAATAAATTTTTTAAAGTCCATTTTATGAACAAATTGTTTAAGTGCAAACATATTCTTCTCACATTTCTAATTTCCGAGCTCCCTAATTAATTGCTCCTAGTCATTAGTAAAAAATAATCATAGAATCAAGTTGCAATTTCTGCTAAACAGTTAAAGTGTGAGGTTTTCATTTATTTGTTACATGTAATTTATGAAATTTGATAGTAAATATCATTTCAGATGATGCCTTCATTGTTAGGGATGCAGTTTTGCTATGTCTTTTTTTTGCAAAACTATTTATCAGCTGATAGCTTTTTCTATATGGTATTTGCTATTTTAGAGAACAGGTCAGGAGTCAAAAATAATCTAAAATACAGGAATGGAAGAAGTAAGTTTACTTTTTTTCTTTCATTAAAGTTATTGCATATTTGTGGTCTGAGAAGCTCATCAGTAAGCCAGCAGGGTAATAAGCAGTTTCCAACAAACATAGCCTGCTGCAGATAGCCAGAGAAGACACTATGAATCAGATTCATCTGATATTGGCATCTGTTGTAATTCACTGAATGACTTGAGAGGGGATCAAAAAGGAAGTCTAACCTCTAGTACAGAACAAGCATGCATTTGGAGCTCTGTATTTTCACTGTATCATTTTGCTGCTTCAAGAATGTTGGCAAAGAATTGTCATCTAAGGACATTTGTAAAGTAAAGAGCATCTTTCTAAGATTTAGGGTAAAGTCTTATCTGTACCTTACCTGTCTTTCTGTGCTTCGTGCCTTGCATGATTCCTAGATCATAAGAGGCACTCGATTAATGTGTGCTGAGCTGAATTGAAGTGTCAGGTCAGAAAGTAGACTCAAAGTCTTCAGAAGAATTCTTTGTAAAACCTTGAACATAAAGATGTTTCTCTCCTAAGCCCAAGAAAGCCACACTATAGCTGCTGCTGTACTTTGCTCTCTCAATCTAGGCCTTTTCCCTGGCTTGGACTCTACAGTATAGCACGGTAGATAAGAAAAAAATCTGTGGAGTAAGCCTGGCTGAGTTTAAATCCCAGTGCTGCCACTTGCCAGCTGTGTTACCTTGGGCAGTCTCTGAGCCTCAGTATTTCATTTGCAAAATGAAGAATAGCAGTGGCTACTTGTTAAGATTATCGTGAAGAATAAATCCGTAAGTTCATGTAAAGTCAGTAGACTGTAGCTGGCATATAATAAGCAGTCAATAAATGTTTCTTGTAATGACAGGCAGCCAATCTTGTATTGTTCTGGGCATGCAGCCCAGGGCCATGTCCCTGTTTAGGAAGCCACACAGACCACTGCAGCAGAGAATTCTCTTTGAACTCACACACTCTGAGAAAAATGACTGGAGGAGGTTTTCTTTCCCCCAGCACTCTAGAGAGTATGGTGTATGGAGACTCACACTGTCAATCCTTGGAAACCCCAGCTGTGAACAAAAACACAAACTTCTTTTATTTGTGGGCAGTCAGTTGGTTTCCTGTCAATTTCATTTTAATTAATGACAAATGTGTCCTGAAAATTCAACCAGTCCTTGATTTTTCTCAGCAAATTAGGCATTCTTGCCACACTTCCCCAAAACATCACTAGCCACATTCAGAAACACCTCGTTTTTGGTATACTTTAAAATACGTATTTTAAAGACTTGAAATGCTGCCACCTAGAGACTACAAATTCATAAAGATAACTACAACAGTGATCATGAAAGACCACTAAAATAGAACTTGGATAGGCATTCTAAATGTCACTGTAAAATTTTGTAATATAAATGGATTATGTACCTATTTTGTATAAAACAAATACTATCAAGCAAAAAAAGTAAAAATAATTCAGAGCAGAAATAAATAATTCTCATTATAATTAATATTTCTAAACGAAATGTCCATCACAGGCAATATACTATTGTTGTTTTAATGTGGAATCATCCCTCCCTCAGAGCAGAATGGAAATTTATGGTGTTGAGAACATCTTATCTTCTGGCTCACAGTCCACACCCAGGTGGTGAGGTTCCACCTGCTGAACCCTGATAAACCATACACATCTTCAAGAGAACAGAGACCAGATGGTGCATGCAAAACCTAGAGCCTAATCTACAGGCTTTCTGTGTCTCTATACTATATGAATCTCTTCCTGTCCGTACACCTTTGGGTAAACCATATTTTTATGTCCAGGGATTAAAACTACATGGTGAAGGATGAGGCATAAATAGCTAGTTATTTGGCTACTATTTGAAATTTTATAAAAATTGGAAGAAGAATTGAAGACAATTGTTATTTCCATTACACAAGAAAGAATATTTTGCTAACACTATCCATTATTCACAAGGAAGAAAAATCCAACCATGAATATATTGAAGTTTTCTACACTTTCCATTACTATATGACCACTGCATCCTTTCCAGACTTCAAATCTCTCTTGCTGAATTGCAGCCTTTGAAAATCGTTACTACCTTTGATTCTTTTTAAGCAATTTTTGTTTTTGAATGTTTACACCCACCAGCCTGTCTCTTTAGTCTGGTCTAATTTTCATTCAGCTACTGACAAAAGGGCAAAGTCGTTTCACAGCCACCTACAATTGTCCAGTCTGTAATGGAATGGAATAAGATAATCATGAAGATATTAGAGATAATTTAGCTCATTTGATAGAAAATGTTACATTTAGGAAAAAAATATATTAAAAATTCTACCCCTGGTGGCTACAGTCCAACAAATACTTGGAAACCTGCAAGTCTGTGGAGAATAAGTCACCTTGCCTTTCATTACACAGTGGACCAAGTAGCAACCCAGTTTCCCAATTATCTTCAAGAAGTGTCAACAATAGAAGATCTGATATTCTGTTTTTAAAAAGAAAAGTGTCATGATCACTATAATCCATTTATTTAGTGGATGGACTCTCATACAGTACATAATGGGCTTGAGATATAAACTTGGATCTCAATGTTGAAAGCCGGGTAGGATTTGATTAAATCTATCTAAATGCAACCATAATACAATTGTAGATTTCAATTAGGAAGAAACATGACCACACCAAAAAGATAATATTGCATTACATTTGTTCTGGAAGGCTGGATCAAGGATAAGAAAACTGGAAGTAATGAAAAGTTCCCTTTAATTTTTTTTTCTCTGTATCTTATCATGGTTTTGCTCTGCTACTGTCAAATTCGAGAGTAGTTGATTCTTTTAAGGAGAATATAAATCAGATTCTCATTTTTTCTGCAAACTCCATACTGAATTGAATTTTTAAAATTATTTTATAATGCCTTTTGTTAGTAATTCTTTTGAATGCTTTTTATTGATATTCTACTTCAAATGGGTAAAGAAAATGTGTGAGTAAAGGATTCATAAACCATGTGAAACTGAAATAAAGGGAAAAATAAGAAAGCACAGCAAATAATTTCTGAGATAGAAACCCGGTCTCCCCTCAACACACACACATACACATATACATACACATACACATACACATACACATACATACACATACACACACACATACACATACACATACACATACATACACATACACACACACACACACACACACGTGAAAACAAGAAGAAATAGAGTCATGTCAAAGTAAAACATCTCTGAACCATTGAAAGAGACAAATGTCAGCATGCAAATAATTTCATATACCTACATCATATGTTGAAGTCAGAAGATTCCATTTCACGGAAATTAAAATTTGCCTCGTGTGAAACCTCCAAACAGAGAGAGGACAGAGGATAGAATAGAACCTATTCTATCCACTCCACGCTCCTTAAAGTTGAGTCCAAAGTAATGATTCTAGAATTTATCTGTGGTGAGAATCCTCTGGTCAAGGATTTGTTCAGATTCTAACAAGTGGGAGACTTTTTGTAAAGGAATTTTCCCTCATTGGTTTTAGTGCTTCCTCTAAAGTTATGATCTATATAAGAGCAGGAAAATAATACAAGAGCTATGCCTTAAAAAATGCTGAATTTTGTTCTGTATACAGAATTACTTTGTAGCATTCAATGACTCATTCATTTAACAGTCAGTAATTTAACCGTAAATAACATACCTAAATTGTACTGGGTTTGCAATATTAGATAATCTCTTTATTCATCAAAATCATAATAGTTATAATAGGTAAGAACATGTGTGATACAAAACAATACATAAATGCTAAAAGTGAAAGAAATCAGAATTCAATGGATTCCTAGTATTTTCATTCATAATAGTACAATAAACGGTACCCCATCTAAGTATGACCAGTTTTTCCCCTGAAATGATCTAAAATGTAGCATCATTTTGTCATCAAATTGCAAAGTCCAGTTTCATACTGCATCTAGGAACACCTTTGATACATACGGCTTTCTCAATATACCAAGATGACATAAGCCAGGCAGAATAGAATTAATAGGAAATTTTGTTGACTATCGTGCCCACTAACATCATAGGAGCAGATTATACACAATCAAAAAAAAGCTCAAAGGAATAAAGTTTTCTCTAAAGTTTTTTTCATATTAAAATATCTCCTCCAATTCCTTTTCAATTCAGGCCTCAAACCAATCCCCAGCATTTTATTAAAAAAAAATAAGCTGTTATCAAGAAATCTAGAAGAAAGGTGCTTTTGATACTTGTTTTTTGTTTGTTTTATTATACTTTAAGTTCTGGGATACATGTGCAGAACATGCAGGTTTGTTATATATGTATACACATGCCATGGTGGTTTGCTGCACCCATCAACTCATCATCTACATTAGGTATTTCTCCTAATGCTATCCCTCCCCAATCCCCCTTCCCCTGGATAGGCCCCCTAGTATGATGTTCCCCTCCCTGTGTCCATGTGTTCTCATTGTTCAACTCCCACTCATGAGTGAGAACATGTGGTGTTTGGTTTTCTGTTCCTGTGTTAGTTTGCTGAGAATGATGGTTTCCAGCTTCATCCATGTCCCTGCAAAGGACATGAACTCAACCTTTTTTAAGGCTGCTTAGTATTCTATGGTGTGTATGTGCCACATTTTCTTTATCCAGTCTATCAATGATGGGCATTTGGCTTGGTGCCAAGTCGTTGCTATTGTAAACAGTGCTGCAATAAACATATGTGTGTATGTGTCTTTATAGTAGAATGATTTATAATCCTTTGGGTATATACCCAGGAATGGGATTGCTGGGTCAAATGGTATTTCTGGATCTAGATCCTTGAGGAATCGCCACACTGTCTTCAACAATGGTTGAACTAATTTACACTCCCACCAACAGTGTAAAAGTGGTCCTATTTCTCCACATCCTCTCCAGCACCTGTTGTTTCCTGACTTTTTAATGATCGCCATTCTAACTGGCGTGAGATGGTATCTCATTGTGGTTTTGGTTTGCATTTCTTTAATGACCAGTGATGATGAGCATTTTTTCATATATTTGTTGGCTGCATAAATGTCTTCTTTGGAGAAGTGTCTATTAATGTCCTTTGCTCATTTTTTGATGGGGTTGTTTTTTTTTTCTTGTAAATTTATTTAAGTTTCTTGTAGATTCTGGATATTAGCCCTTTGTCAGATGGATAGATTGCAAAAATTTTCTCCCATTTTATAGGTTGCCTGTTGACTCTGATGATAGTTTCTTTTGCTGTGCAGAAGCTCTTTAGTTTAATTAGATCCCATTTGTCAATTTTGGCTTTTGTTGCCGTTGCTTTTGGTGTTTTAGTCATGAAGTCTTTGCCCATGCCTATGTCTTCAGTGGTATTGCCTAGGTTTTCTTCTAGGGTTTTTATGGTTTTAAGTCTTACCTTTAAGTCTTTAATCCATCTTGAGTTAATTTTTGTAGAAGATGTAAGGAGCAGGTCTAGTTTCAGTTTTGTGCATATGGCTAGCCAGTTTTCCCAACACCATTTATTAAATAGGTAATCCTTTCCCTATTGCTTATTTTTGTCAGGCTTGTCAAAGATCAGATGGTTGTAGATGTGTGGTGTTATTTCTGAGGCCTCTGTTCTGTTCCATTGGTCTATATATCTGTTTGGGTACCAGTACCATGCTATTTTGGTTACTGTAGCCTTGTAGTATAGCTCAAAGTCAGGTAGCATGATGCCTCCATTTTTGTTCTTTTTGCTTAGGATTGTCTTGGCTGTATAGGCTTTTTTTGGTTCCATAAGAAACTTAATTTTTTTCTAATTCTGCAAAGAAAGTCAGTGGTAGCTTGATGGGGATAGCATTGAATCTATAAATAACTTTGGGCAGTATGGCCATTTTCGTGATATTGATACTTCCTATCCATGACCATGAAATGCTTTTCCATTTGTTTGTATCCTCTCTTATTTCCTTGAGCAGTGGTTTGTAGTTCTCATTGAAGAGGTCCTTCACATCACTTGTAAGTTGTATTCCTAGGTATTTTATTCTCTTTCTAGCAATCGTGAATGGGAGTTCACTCATGGTTTGGTTCTCTGTTTGTCTATTATTGGTGCATAGGAATGCTTGCGATTTTCAAACATTGATTTTATATCCTGAGACTTTGCTGAAGTTGCTTATCGGCTTAAGAAGACTTTGGGCTGAGACGATGGGGTTTTCTAAATATACAATCATGTTATCTGTGAACAGAGACAATTTGACTTCTTTTCTTCCTATTTGGATACACTGTATTTCTTTCTCTTGCCTAATTGCCCTGGGCAGAACTTCCAATACTATGTTGAATAGGAGTGGTGAGAGAGGGCATCCTTGTCTTGTGCCAGTTTTCAAAAGGAATGCTTCCAGTTTTTGCCCATTCAGTATGATATTGGCTGTGGGTTTGTCATAAATAGCTCTTATTATTTTGAGATACATTCCATCAACACCTAGTTTATTGAGAGTTTTTAGCATGAAGGGGTGTTGAATTTTGTTAAAGGCCTTTTCTGCATCTATTGAGATAATCATGTGGTTTTGTCATTGGTTCTGCTTATGTGATGGATTATGTTTATTGATTTGTGTATGTTGAAACAGCTTTGCATTCCAGGGATGAAGCTGACTTGATTGTGGTGGATAAGTTTTTTGAGGTGCTGCTGGATTCAGTTTGCCAGTATTTTATTGAGGATTTTCGCATCGATGTTTATCAAGGATATTGGCCTGAAATTTTCTTTTTTTGGTGTGTCTCTGCCAGGTTTTGTTATCAGAATGATGCTGGCTTCATAAAATGAGTTAGGGATGAGTCCCTCTTTTTGTATTGTTTGGAATAGTTTCAGAAGCAATGGCACCAGCTCCTCTTTGTACCTCTGGTAGAATTCAGCTGTGAATCTGTCTGGTCCTGGGTGTGTGTGTGTGTGTGTTTGGTTAGTAGGCTATTAATTACTGCCTCAATTTAAGAAATTGTTATTGGTCTATTCAGGGATTCAACTTCTTCCTGGTTTAGTCTTGGGAGGGCGTATGTGTCTAGGAATTTATCTATTTCTTCTAGATTTTCTAGTTTATTTGCCTAGAGGTGTTTATAGTATTCTCTGATGGTAGTTTATATTTCTGTGGGATCAGTGGTGATATCCCCTTTATCATTTTTTCTTGTGTCTATTTGATTCTTCTCTTTTCTTCTTTATTAGTCTGGCTAGTGGTCTATGTTGTTAATCTTCTTAAAAAACCAGCTCCTGGATTCACTGATTTTTTGAAGGGTTTTTCATGTCTCTATCTCCTTCAGCTCTGCTCTGATCTTAATTATTTCTTGTCTTCTGCTAGCTTTTGAACTTGTTTGCTCTTGCTTCTCTAGTTCTTTTAATTGTGATATTAGGGTGTCGATTTTAGATCATTCCCACTTTCTCCTGCAGGCATTTAGTGCTGTAAATTTTCCTCTAAACACTGCTTTAGCTGTGTCCCAGAGATTCTGGTACGTTGTGTCTTTGTTCTCATTGGTTTCAAAGAACATCTTTATTTCTGCCTTCATTTTGTTATGTACCCAGTAGTCATTCAGGAGCAGGTTGTTCAGTTTCCCTGTAGTTGTGTGATTTTGAGTGAGTTTTTTAATCCTGAGTGCTAATTTGATTGCACTGTGGTCTAAGAGACTTTGCTTTGATTTGTTTTTTTTTTTTTTTTTTTTTTTTTTTTTTTTTGCATTTGCTGAGGAGTGTTTTACTTCCAATTATGAGGTCAATTTTAGAATAAGTGCAATGTAATGCTGAGAAGAATGTATATTCTGTTGATTTGGGGTGGAGGGTTCTGTAGATGTCTATTAGGTCTGCTTGGTCTAGAGCTGAGTTTAAGTCCTGAATATCTTTTTAAATTTTCTGTCCCATTGATCTGTCTAATATTGACAATGGGGTGTTAAACTCTCCCACTATTATTGTGTGGGAGTCTAAGTTTCTTTGAAGGTCTTTAAGAACTTGCTTTATGAATCTGGATGCTCCTCTATGGGGTGCATATATATTTAAGATAGCTAGCTCTTCTTGTGGTGTTGATCTCTTTACCATTATGTAATGCCCTTCTTTGTCTTTTTTGGTATTTGTTTTTTTGAAGTCTGTTTTACCAGAGACTAGGATTGCAACCCCTGCTTCTTTTTGCTTTCCATTTGCTTGGGAAATATTACTCCATCCCTTTATTTTGAGCTTATGTGTGTCTTTGCATGTGAGATGGGTCTCCTAAATACAGCACACAGATGGGTCTTGACTCTGTATCCAATTTGCCAGTCTGTGTTTTTTAATTGGGGCATTTAGCCCATTTACATTTAAGGTTAATATAGTTGCATAGGAATTTGATCCTGTCATTACGATGCTAGCTGGTTATTTTGCCCATTAGTTGATAACAGTTTCTTCATAGTGTCAATGGTCTTTACAATTTTGTATGTTTTTGCAGCGGCTGGTACCCATTGTTCCTTTCCATATTTAGTGCTTCCTTCAGGAGCTCATGTAAGGCAGGCCTAGTGTTGACAAAATCTCTCAGCATTTACGTGTCTGTAAGGATTTTATTTCTCTTTCACTTATGAAGCTTAGTTTGGCTAGATATGAAATTCTGGGTTGAAAATTCTCTTCATTAAGAATGTTGAACATTGGCCCCCACTCTTCTTCTGGCTTGTAGGGTTTCTGCAGAGAGATCCACTGTTAGTTTGATGGGCTTCCATTTGTGGGTAACCTGACCTTTCTCTCTGGTTGCCCTTAACATTTTTTCCTTGATTTCAATCTTGGTGAATCTGAAGATTATGTGCCTTGGGGTTGCTCTTCTCGAGGAGTATCTTTGTGGTGTTCTCTGTATTTCCTGAATTTGAACGTTGGCCTGCCTTGCTAGGTTGGGGAAGTTCTCCTGGATAATATCCTGAAGAGTATTCTCCAACTTAGTTCCATTCTCCCCATCACTTTCAGGTACACCTATCAAATGTAGATTTGGTCTTTTCACATAGTCCCATATTTCTTGGAGGCTTTGTTCATTCCTTTTCATTCTTTTTTCTCTAATCTTGGCTTCATGCTTTATATCATTAAGTTGATCTTCAATATCTCATATCCTTTCTTCCACTTGATCAATTCAGCTATTGATACTTGTGTATGCTTCACGAAGTTCTCGTGCTGTTTTTCAGCTCCATCAAGTCATTTATATTCTTCTGTAAACTGGTTATTCTAGCTAGCAATTTGTCTAACCTTTTTTCAAGGTTCTAGCTTTGTTGCATTGGGCTAGAACATCCTCCTTTAACTCAGAGGAGTTTGTTATTACTCATCTTCTGAAGCCTACTTCTGTCAATTTGTTAAACTCATTCTCTGTCCAGTTTTGTTCCCTTGATGGCAAGGAGTTGTGATCCTTTGGAGGAGAAGAGGCATTCTGGTTTTTGGAATTTTCAGCCTTTTTGTGCTGGTTTTTCCTCACCTTTGGATTTATCTACATTTAGTCTTTGATGTCGGTGACCTTCGGATGGGATTTTGGTGTGTATGTTCTTTTTTTTTTTTTGGCATTCAATCTTCTTTATTATGAAAACAACTATTTTGCTTATGTATCTATTCTGTGCTGCATTAGAAAGTTAGAATGTATACATATATTTTTCCCCACACTTCCTAAGAATGTTTGAAGCTTAAGCTTTTCTTTTTTTGATTTTTTATTTTATTTTTATTATTATACTTTAAGTTCTAGAGTACATGTGCACAACGTGCAGGTTCGTTACATATATATACATGTGCCATGTTGGTGTGCTGCACCCATTAACTTGTCATTTATATTAGGTATATCTCCTAATGCTATCCCTCCCTCTCTTCCCCCACCCCACTGCAGGCCCAGTGTGTGATGTTCCCCTTCCTGTGTCCATGTGTTGTCATTTTTCAATTCCCACCTATGAGTGAGAGAACCTGTGGTGTTTGGTTTTTTGTCCTTGCGATAGTTTGCTGAGAATGATGGTTTCCAGCTTCATCCATGTCCCTACAAAGTACAAGAACTCATCCTTTTTTATGGCTGCATAGTATTCCATGGTGTATATGTGCAACATTTTCTTAATCCAGTCTATCATTGATGGACATTTGGGTTGGTTCCAAGTCTTTGCTATTGTGAATAGTGCCGCAATAAACGTACATGTGCATGTGTCTTTATAGTAGCATGATTTATAATCCTTTGGGTATATACCCAGTAATGGGATGGTTGGGTCAAATGGCATTTCTATGTTCTAGATCCTTGAGGAATCACCACACTGTCTTCTACAATGGTTGAACTAGTTTACAGTCCAACCAACAGTGTAAAAGTGTTCCTATTTCTCCACATCCTCTCCAGCACCTGTTGTTTCCTGACTTTTTAGTTATCGCCATTCTACCCTGTTATGCAGGTCTGCTGGAGTTTGCTGGAGGTCCACTTCGGACCCTGTTTCCCTGGATATCACCGGCAGAGGCTGCAGAACAGCAAAGATTGCTGCCTGTTCCTTTCTCTGGAAGCTTCATCCCAGAGGGGCACCTGCCAGATGCCAGCTGGAGCTCTCCTGTGTGAAGTGTCTGTCGACTCTTGCTGAGAGGTGTCTCCCAGTCAGGAGTCACAGGAGTTAGGGACTCACTTGAGGAGACACCCCGTCCCTTAGCAGAGCTGGAGCACTGTGCTGGGAGATCCACTGCTCTCTTCAGGGCCGGCAGGCAGGACCGTTTAAGTTGGCTGAAGCTGTGCCCACAGCCACCCCTTCCCCCAGGTGCTCTGTCCCAGGGAGATGGGAGTTTTATCTATAAGCCCCTGACTGGGGCTGCTGCCTTTCTTTCAGAGATGCCCTTCCCAGAGAGGAGGAATCTAGAAAGGAAGTCTGGCCACAGTGGCTTTGCCAAGCTGTGGTAGGCTCCGCCCAGTTTTAACTTCCCAGCAGCATTTTGAGGGGAAAATCACCTATTCAAGCCTCAGTAATGGTGGATGCTCCTCCCCTCACCAAGCTTGAGTGTCCCAGGTTGACTTCAGACTGTTGTGCTGGCAGCAAGAATTTCAAGCCAGTGGATCTTAGCTTGCTGGGCTCTGTGGGGGTGGGATCCGCTGAGCTAGACCACTTGGTTCTCTGGCTTCAGCCCCCTTTCCAGGGGAGCGGGCGGTTCTGTCTCACTGGTATTCCAGGCACTACTGGGGTATGGAAAAAACTTTTGCAGCTAGTTCAGTGTCTGCCCAAACGACTGCCCAGTTCTGTGCTTGAAACCCAGGGCTCTGGTGGTGTAGGCACCTCAAGGAATCTCCTGGTCTGCGGGTTGCAAAGACCATGGGAAAGGCATAGTATCTGGGCTGGAATGCATTATTCCTCACAGCACAGTCTCTCAAGGCTTCCCTTGGCTAGAGGAGAGAGTTCCCTGACCCCTTACACTTCCCAGGTGAGGCGACACCCCACCTTGCTTCAGTTCACCCTCCGTGGGCTGCACCCACTGCCTAACCAGTCCCAATGAGATGAACCAGGTACCTCAGTTGGAAATGCAAATACCACCCACCTTCTTAGTTGATCTTGCTGGGAGCTGCAGACTGAAGCTGTTCCTATTTGGCCATCTTGCCAGCCTCAATATTTGTTTTTAAGAGTTTCATCTGATGTGCTTATCTGGCTGTGTACCATATTGCCAATTAGCACTATAAAGTTTCTAGTCATGCAGGTGCTCTAGATATTTTGGTGCCTGAGTTACATAAATCTTTCACACAAAAAAAGATAAAGATGTACCTCCACTTTATTATAAAGAAAGTTGAAATAAGCCCATAGCCAGAGTGAAACGTAGAGTTAAATGCCTCTACAGAGGCATTATTAATTTTTATTAATAAAAAATAGGTTTTTATAGAATGTTTCCATTTCTTATGAACAAAGAAGAGCTAATAAATTCAAGTCAATGACAGACTTTTAAATTCTGTGTGCTTTCTCCTGGGTACCCAGTACGGTTCATCCAGATTGACTACTAGGCTGTTAGAAGATATAACTGTATGATTACTAAAATATCATAACTAGGGCCACATAAATTTTTTAGGTAAAAATTCACGGATACTCGACAACATTTAACATTCTCACTAAATATTACAATTAATGTAATTACTTAATAATACAATTAATAATATTAGCATTACCTTATCTGCTTTATAAAAGTAAACTATAGTAAATGTACTTATTCTTTTATTCTCATATAGCTCTGCTTTATTCAAATCCTTCTCTGGACATACTAAAGGCAACATAAAAGGAATCTTCTCCTTTCCAAACCAGGCAGTACTTTATAGCCAGATTAATTTTCATAAAATACTTACACCATGTTACTTTTCCCCTTAACCACACCCAGTGATTTCCTAGTAATACTCAAAACAACCTAACCTGCATTTATTGCCTCTCATAAGCCTTGCCCATCCTGCCTTTCCTGTCTTAGGCCCTGGTGCATGCCCACTCAAATCCTCTGCCACATTGGTGTTGTCTGCCCTTTGTTTTTGAGCACAATGTAGAGATTTGCTATCACACAGCACTGTTGCCCAATTTTCTTCACTTTGAGTGTACTCTCATTTTTTCTCTTTCAGCCCAAACCCTAACCATAATTCCAGGTTCAATGTAAGTGTTATGTTCTCTTTGAAGTTTTCCCTAATCGCCCCATCTCACAGTTGTCTATGGTTTCTAGAGTCTCATATTGCACTTATTTTCTTTGTTAACAAATTAATATTTATCATATTCCTTGTATTTTAATTAACTACTTGAATATTTATATATTTTCCTTCTTACTTATATTTAATAAGGATAGAGACACTTTGTAAATATTGTTTTGCCTTTCATGGCCCTCACCCTGGGTACTGCACATAGCAGGTGCTCAACTAATTCCGAATTTATTCACAAGAACTCAAAGAGCAACACAAATGATTCACGCTACATATGAAATACTTCTTTTCAGAGAAGTCTCCTAAGCATTGGTCCAAGTGGCCAAGAGGAATCTTATCCCCTGGATGTCATTAAAAATAGATAAATACTATTTTGTGCTGGATGGTATCACAGAAAGTAATAACACAGGAAAGAAATGACCATGAGAGTGTTGGCCTCACCCAATTCTAGTTTTTCATTATTCTTTAGATATTTCAATACCTTCCAGACTGTAAACATACCAAAAAAAAAAAAGGAGGGAGAAAAAAATTTATGATCTGGATGAATGCTTAAGTCTCCACTAAATGTGGAAATGACGTAAACCATTTACAATACTGAGTTCTAGTTGTGATGCTAAGTTAGGCCTGATATATCTATGAACGTTCTAACATAAACAAGGCAGGCATACCTCAAATATATTGCAGGCTTGGTTTCAGATCACCACAATAAAGACAATATCACAGTAGAGAGATCATACCGACTTTTTTGTTTTTCCAGTGCATATGAAATTTATATGTACCTTATACTGTAGTCTATTAAATGTGCAATAGCATTCCAACAAAAATACAATGTAGATACCTTAATTTAAAAATACTTTCTTGCTAAAAATTGCTAATGATCACCTTAGCCTGCAGCGAGTCATAATCTTTTAGCTGGTGGAGGGTCTTGCTTCAATGCTGATGGTTGCTCACTGATCAGGGTGATAGTTGCTGAAGGTTGGGGTGGCTGTGGCAATTTCTGAAAATAAGCCAACAATAAAGTTTGCTTTATCAATTAACTCTTCCTTTAATGAAAGATTCCTCTGTAGCAAGTGATAGTGCTTGATAGCATTTGACCCGCAATAGAAATTCTTTCAATATTGGAGTAAATCCTCTCAAACCCTGCCACTGCTTTATCAATGAAGTTTATCGAATATTCTTAATTGTTTGTTATCACTTCAACAATGTTTATAGCATCTTCACCAGGAGTAGATTCCATCTCAAGAAACCACTTTCTTTGCTCATCCATAGAAAGCAACTCATCATCCATTAAAGTTTATCATGAAATTGTAGCAATTCAGTCATATCTTCAGGCTTCTCTTCTAATTTTGGTTCTCTTGCTATTTCCACATCTGCAGTTACTTTGTCTGCTGAAATCTTGAACCCCACAAAGTCATCCATAAAGGTTGGAATCAACTTCTTCCAAACTCCTGTCAATGTTAATATTTTGACCTCCTCCCATGAATCACAAATGGCATCTAGAATGGTAAATTATTTTCAGAAGGTTTTCAACTTACTTTGCCCAAATTCATCAGAGGAATCACTAGCTATGGCAGCTATAGCCTTACAAAATATCTTTCTTAAGTAATGAGATTTGAAAGTCAAGCATGGTGGTGCATGCCTACAATACCAGCTACACAGAAGGCCGAAGTGGAAGAATCATTTAAGGCCAGGAGTTCGACTCCAGCCTGGGAACCATAACAAGATTTCATTTCTTTAAAAATAAACAAAATTACTTCTTGTCCCATTGGTTACACAGTAACACAATAACGTTGGCACAAAAACAATATTAATCTTCTACAATTTTATCAGAACTCTTGGGTGACCATATGCATTGTCAATGAGCAGAAATATTTTGAAAGAAGTTTTTCTAGGCAGTATGTCTCAACAGTGGACATAAAATATTTAGATGTTCAGTAAGCCATGCTGTAAGCAGATGTGCTGTCATACAGGCTTTGCTTTTTCATTTATAGGGAACAGTCAGAGCAGATTTAACATAATTTTTAAGGGCACTAGGATTATTTTTCTTTTTTTTCACTCAAACATTCTGAGAGACACCCTAGGATTTTTGAAATACTAAATGGGCATTGGCTTCAACTTCAAGTCACTAGCTGCATTTGCCCTGAAAAACAGTGTGTCCTTTGAAGCTTTAAAGCCAGACATTGAGTTCTCCTCTCTAGCTATGAAAATCCTAAATGGCATCTTCATCCAATAGAAGGCTGTTTCGCCTACATTGGAAATCTGCTGTTTAGTGTAGCCAATTGCATTGATTTGCTTAGCTAGTTCTTCTGAATAACTTACTGCAGCTTCTATACCAGCATTGGCACTTCTTATGTTTTGGAGATGGCTTCTCTTCTTAAACCCCATGGACCTCACCTCTGCTAGCTTCAAACTTCTCTTCTGCCACTTCCTCAACTCTCTGAAGCTTTACAGAGTTGAAGAGAATTAGGGACTTGCTCTGGATTTGGCTTTGGCTTAAGGGAATGTTGTGGCTGGTTTGATTTTCTACCCAGACCACTAAAACTTTCTCCATATCAGCAATAAGCCTCTTTTGCTTTCTTACCATTCATGTGTTCACTGAAGTAGCACTTTTAATTTCTTTCAAGAACTCTGTCTTTGCATTCACAATTTGGCTCACTGTTTGGCATAAAAGGCCTAGCTTCCAGCCTATCTCAGCTTTTGACATGCTTTGCTCACTAAGCTTAATCACTTCTAGTTTTTGGTTTAAAGTGACAGATTTGTGACCCTTTCTTTCACTTGAACACTTAGAGGCCATTGTAAGGTTATTAACTGGTCTAACTTTAACATTCTTGTGTCTCAGGAAATAGAGACCCACCAAAAAAGGAAAGAGATGGGGGAATGGCCAGTCAATGGAGCAGTCAGAACACATAGAATATTCATTGATTAAGTTTGACATCCTATATGGATGTGGTTTGTAATGCCCCCAAATGAAGTCAATAGTAACATCAAAGATCACTGATCACAGATCACTGTAACAGGTATAACAATAATGAAAAAGTTTGAAATATTGTGAGAATTACCAAAACATGACACAGAGACATAAAGTGAGCATCTGCTCTTGAAAAAATGGTGCCAACAGACTTACTCAAAACACAGTTGGCACAAACCTTCAATTTGTAAAAAATGCAATATCTATGAAGCACAATAAAGCAAAGTGCAGTAAGACAAGGTATCCCTGTACAGCAACACCATATTATATCAGGCAGTTTTCACAAGTTATGCCTTCTACTGAACAAGATTAGACAGATTTTACCACCAGCCTATCATTCTGTTACATCCTTTTTTTCTTCTAAGTTTTAATTTAAAAAAATTTTTTGTTTCCACAGGTTATTGGGGAACAGGTGGTGTTTGGTTATATGAGTACATTCTCTAGTGGTGATTTGTAAGATTTTGGTGCATCCACCACCCAGGCAGTATACACTGCATGCTATTTGTAGTCTTTTACCCCTCACCCACTTCCCACCCTTTCCCCCTGAGTCCCCAAAGCCCATTGTGTCATTCTTATTCCTTTGCATCCTCATAGCTTAGCTCCTACTTGTAAGTGAGAACGTATGATGTTTGGTTTTCCATTCCTGAGTTACTTCACTTAGAATAATGGTCTCCAATCTCATCCAGGTCACGGTGAATGCCATTAATTCATTCCTTTTTATGGGTGAGTAGTATTCCATCATATATATATACAGTTTCTTTATCCACTCGTTAATCAGTAGGCATTTGGGTTGGTTTCACATTTTTGCAATTGCGAATTGTGCTGCTATAAACATGTGTGCACAAATATCTTTTTCATATGAGTTCTTTTGCTCTGGGTAGATACCCAGTAGTGGAAATGCTGGATCAAATGATAGTTCTACTTTTAGCTCTTTAACGAACCTCCACACTGCTTTCCACAGTGGTTGTACTAGTTTACATTCCCACCAGCAGTGTAGTAGTGTTCCCTGTTTACCGCATTCATGCCAACATCTACTATTTTTTAATTTTTTTATTAAAGCCATTCTTGCAGGAGTAAGGTGGTATCGCATTGTGGTTTTGATTTGCAGTTCCCTGATCATTAGTGATGTTGAACATTTTCTCATATGTTTGTTAGCCATTTGTATATTTTCTTTTGAGAATTGTCTATTCATGTCCTTAGCCCACTTTTTGATGGGGTTGTTTTTTTCTTGCTGATTTGTTTGAGTTCGTTGTAGATTCTGGATATTAGTTCTTTGTCAGATGTATAGATTGTGAAGATTTCCTCCCACTCTGTGAGTTGTCTATTTACTCTACTGACTGTTCCTTTTGCCATGCAAAAGCTGTTTCATTTAATTAAGTTCCAGCTATTTATCTTTGTTTTTGTTGCATTTGCTTTTGGGTTTTTGGTCTTGAAATCCTTGCTACGACAGTGTCTAGAAGGGTTTTTCCAAAGTTTTCTTCTAGAATTTTTATAGTTTCAGGTCTTAGATTTAAGTAATTAATCCATCTTGAGTTGATTTTGGTATAAAGTGAAAGATGAGGATCCACTGTCCTCCTACATGTGGCTAGCCAATTATCCCAGCACCATTTGTTGAAAAGAGTGTCCATTCCCCACTTTATGTTCTTGTTTGTTTTGTCAAAGATCAGATGGCTAAAAGTATTTGGGTTTATTTCTGGGTTCTCTATTCTGTTCCATTGGTCTATGTGCCTATTTTTATACCAATACCGTGCTGCTTTGGTGACTATAACCTTATTGTTTGAAATCAGGTAATGTGTTTCCTCCATATTTGTTCTTTTTGCTTACTCTTGCTTTGGCTATATGGGCTCTTATTTGGTTCCATATGAATTTTAGAATTGTTTTTCTAATTCTGTGAAGAATGATGACAGTATTTTGATGGAAATTGCATTGAATTTCTAGATTGCTTTTGGTGTATGGTCATTTTCACAATATTTATTCTCTCATCCATGAGCATGGGATGTGTTTCTATTTGTTTCTGTCATTTATGATATCTTTCAGAAATGTTTTGTAGCTTTCCTTGTAGAGGTCTTTCACCTCCTTGGTTAGGTATATTCCTAAGTGTTTTTTTTGTTTTGTTTTGTTTTTTCCGGCAGCTATTGTAAAAGGGGTTGTGTTCTTAATTTGATTCTCAGCTTAGTCGCTATTGGTGGATAAAAGAGCTGCTGATTTGTGTACATTAATTTTGTATCCAGAAACTTTGCTGAATTATTTTATCAGTTCTAGGAGCTTTCTGGAAGAGTCTTTAGGGTTTTCTACATAAATGATCATATCATCAGCAAAGAGCAACAGTTTGACTTCCTCTTTGCTGATTTGGATGCCCTTTATTTCTTTCTCTTGTCTGATTGCTCTGGCTAGGACTTCTAGTACTATGTTGAAGCAGAATGGTGAAAGTGGACATCCTTGTCTTGTTCCAGTTCTCAGAGGGAATGCTTTCAACTTTTCCCCATTCGGTATTATGTTGGCTATAAATTTGTCATAGGTGGCTTTCATTATATTGAGGTATGTCCCTCATATACCAACTTTGCTGAGAGTTTTAATCATAAAGGGATGCTGGATTTTGTCAAATGCTTTTCTGCTTCTATTGAGATAATCATGTGATTTTTGTTTTCAATTCTGTTTATGTGGTGTATCACATTTATCGACTTGCATGTGCTAAACCATCCCTGCATTCCTGATATGAAACCTATTTGATCATGGTGGATTATCATTGTGATACGTTGTTGGATTCAGTTAGCTAGTATTTTGTTAAGGATTTTAGTATCTATGTTCATCAGGGATATTGTTCTGCAGATTTCTTGTTTGGTTATGTTTTTTACCAGTTTTGGTATTAGGGTGATACTGACTTCAGAGAATGATTTAGGGAGGATTCCTTCTTCTCTATCTTGTGGAATAGTGTCAATAGGATTGGTACCAATTCTTCTTTGAATGTCTGGTAGAATTCTGCTGTGAATCTGTCTGGTCCTGGACTTTTTTTGCTGGTAATTTTTTAATTGCCATTTCAATCTTGCTGCTTGTTATTGGTCTGTTCAGGGTATCTAATTCTTCCTGATTTAAGCTAGAAGGGTTGCACCTTTCCAGGAATTTATCCATCTATTCTAAGTTTTCTAGTTTATGTGTGTAAAGGTGTTCATAGCAGCCTTGAATGATCTTTGTGTGCTGTCAGTTGTAGTATCTTCCATTTTGTTTCTTATTGAGCTTATTTGGATTTTCTTCTTTTCTTGATTAATATTGCTAATGGTCTATCAATTTTATATATCTTCTTAAAGAACTAGCTTTTTGTTTCATTTATCTTTCATAATTTTCTTTTTGTTTCAATTTCATTTAGTTCTGCTCTGATCTTGGTTATTTCCTTTCTTCTGCTGGGTTTGGGTTTGGTTTGTTCTTGCTTCTCTAGTTCCTTGAAGTGTGGCCTTAGATTATTTGTTTGTGCTCTTTCAGACTTTTTGATGTAGGTGTTTAGGGCTATGAGCTTTCCACTTCTCACTGCCTTTGCTGTATCCATGAGGTTTTGATAGCTTGTGTCACTATTGTCGTTCAGTTTGAAGAATTTTGTAATTTCTATGCTGATTTCATTTTGACTACAATGATCATTCAGGAGAAGACTACTTAATGTCTATGATATTTACATGATTTTAAAGGTTTAGAGTTGATTTCCAGTTTTATTCCACTATGGTCTGAAAGACTGTTTGATATCATTTCAATTTTCTTAAATTTATTGGGCTCATTTTGTGGCCTATCATATGGTCTATCTTGGAGGAAGTTTCATATGCTGTTGAATAGAATGTACATTCTGCAGTTGTTGGATGGAATGTTCTGTATATATCTGTTAAGTTCATTTGTTCCATGGTATAAATTCATTGTTTCCTTGTTGACTTTCTGTCTTAATGACAAGTCTAGTGCTGTCAGTGGAGTATTGAAGTCCCCCACAATTATCGTGTTGCTTCTATCTCATTTCTTAGGTCTATTAGTAATTGTTTTATAAATTTGGAAGCGCCAGTCTTAGGTGTATATATATTTATGATTGTCATATGTTCCTGTCAAACAAGGCCTTTTTTCACTATATAATGTCCCTCTTGGTCTTTTTTAACTGCTGTTGCTTTAAAGTTTATTTTGTCTGATATAAGAATAGCTACTCATACTCACTTTTGATATTCATTTGTGTGAAATGTCTTTTTCACCCCTTTACCTTAAGTTTATGTGAGTCCTTATGTGTTAGGTGAGTCTCTTGAAGGTAGCAAGAATTTTTATAATTCTCCAATTCTGTATCTTTTAAGTGGAGATTGAGTCATTTACATTCAATGTTAGTATTGAGATGTGAGGTACCATTGCATTCATTGTGCTATTTATTGCATGTATCCCTTAACTTTTAGCTTTTTGTTTTTGTTTTTTTAAATTTTATTTTTGTTTTATAGGTCCTGTGAGATTTATGCTTTAAAGAGGTTGCGTTTTGATGTGTTTCCACAATTTGTTTCAAGATTTAGAGCTCCTTTTAGCAGTTCTTGTAGTGGTGGCTTGGTAGTGGCAAATTCTCTCAGCATTTGTTTGTCTGAAAATGACTGTATCTTTCCTTCATATATGAAGCTTAGTTTCACTGGATAAAAAACTCTTGGCTTATAATTGTTTTGTTTGAGGAGGCTGAAGATAGGGCCCCAGTCCCTTCTAACTTGTACAGTTTCTTCTGAGAAATCTGCTGTTAATCTGTTAGGTTTTCCTTTATAGGTTACCTGGTGCTTCTGTCTCACAGCTCTTAAGTAAGATTCTTTCCTTCATCTTAACTTTAGATAACCTGATGACAATGTCCCTAGGCAATTATCTTTTTGTGATGAATTTCCCAGATGTTCTTTGTCCTTTTTATATTTGGATGTCTAGGTCTCTAGCGTGGCTAGGGAAGTTTTCCTCAATTATTCCCCCAAATATGTTTTCCAAACTTGTAGATCTCTCTTCTTCTTCAGGAATCCCCATTATTCTTAGGTTTCGTTGTTTAACATAATCCCAGACTTCTTGGAGTCTTTGTTCATATTTTCTTATTCTTTTTTCTTTGTCTTTGTTGGATTGGGTTAATTCAAAGACCTTGTCTTCGAGCTCTGAATTCCTTTCTTCTACTTGTTCAATTCTATTGCTGAGGCTTTCCAGAGCATTTTGCATTTCTATAAGTGTGTCCATTGTTTCCTGAAGTTTTTATTACTTTTTATTTATGCTATCAATTTCGTTGAATATTCCTCCCTTCACCTTTTGTACCATTTTTTGATTTCCTTACACTGGGCTTCACTTTTCCCTGGTGCCTCCCTAATTAGCTTAATAACTAACCTCCCGAATTCTTTTTCAGGTAAATCAGGGATTTCTTCTTCATTTGGATCCGTTGTTGGTGAGCTAGTGTGATTTTTCGGGCGTGGTAAATAACCTTGTTTTGTCATATTACCAGAATTGGTTTTCTGGTTCCTTCTTCTTTGGGCAGGCTCTGTCAGAAGGAAGGTCTAGGGCTGAAGGCTGTTTTTCAGATTGTTTTGTCCCATAGGATGTTGCCCTGATGTAGTACTCTTCCCTTTTTCCTGTGCATGTTGCTTTCTGAGAGCTGAGCTGTAGTGATTGTTATCTCTGTTCTGGATCTAGCAACCTAGCAAGTCTACCAGGCTCCAGGCTGGTACTGGGGGTTGTCTGCACAGAGTCCTGTGATGTGAACCATCTATGGGTCTCTCAGTCATGGAAACCAACACCTGTTCCAGAACTCCCAAGAGTATATGCCCTTTGTCTTCAGTTACCAGGATAAATAGCAACCTTATCTGGCAAACAAAGTTTGCAGACCTGCAGAAAGGCTTAGGAATTGGAGGGTCAAGTATCTCTGTTAGTGAAGGTATAAATGACGCTGTTCACAGGAAGACTGGATGAAAGTCTCTTATCCCCTTCCTCACTCATCACACACACAGATCCACTGTATACTGGTACAAGACAGACAGAACCAGGAGAATCCAAAGATCTGGCCCACAGAGGTTCGAGACTTACAGATAACATCACGGCTGAGGGCAAGAGTGAGATGCAATACTTGAAACAGGAGAATCAGCAAAGTCTACATTATGAATGGTGAAACCCCTGTCTCCTTCACTTTGGCTTAGAAAACTGACAATCCAGATCCTATCTACCACCCATACTTCAAAAGCAGGAAATTGGAGGATTCTTTTCTTGGCATAATCATCCCTGGATGAAAGACCTAACACATTCATTTTTGCTAGTGTTCCACAGTGGAAATGCCAGCTAGATTGCCCTGCAGAGAGGCCACAGTGTACAGTCCAATCAACACATGCAGACAGAGTTTCCAGTCAGTGTGCAGTTCCTCTGTCTGAAATGAGGGCAGTCGAGGACCACCAGACTCTTGAAAAAAAGGGTGCAGGAAGAAGGATAAAGAGCAGAGAAAAACACACACTGCACAAAAGGAATCTGCAGGAACAGAAAGTCTGGATTAAAACTTTATTTAAAAAATATCATTAATGTCTTTATAGAACCAGGCTATTGCTTCTATAAGAAAATAAGAAATTTTAACTGAGACACCAAGGTATGTGAACATCAGATATTAAAATGAATTAAGGGACAACATCCAGTAGTACTTACACATTTTCCAAGTGGTATTGTTGAGAACTAGTTAGACAACCCTAAAACCCACATGGCAAGTAATAAGGAGTAAACAATAAGACTGGAGAAAGGATTTGGAAGGAGGATTTATTTGGTGAGAGTTGCCAGGGTGCTGTGAGCCAAGGGAGAAAGAGGATCTGCACATGTAAGTGTCTGATCCATACCATGGAGTTAGGAGGACACAGGGAACCTTTCTCTGACTCTTGCCTGGGAACTTCGAGGGGCAAGTACAAGCTGGCAGGCTGCTTTGGTGGTGGCAAGAATGAGAGACGCTGTGGGATCCTGGGGGTAAGGAAGGTGTGACTGGTTGAACAGAGCACATTAATTTAAGCCAAGTAAGCTACACCAAGGGGTTTGGTATCCAAAGGACCCATTACTCTGCTCATGATGGGAAAGAAGTCAGCATTAAAGCCTTCCTAGGCCCACTGAAGTGAAATAACCTTGGAATAGCACTAGCAATAAAACGATTGCCTAATTGCACAGAGATACAGCCAAGGAATTGATGGAATTAATGTTATGACTGCATGCTGCTCTTCCTTTTCACATAACTTTCTCCAAAGAATGATTAAAGTTTTGTGTCACTTTATGAGAAACAATGAGTGACCAAACACTTATTTAGCACTTATATTCCAGGCACTTTTATTTTTATTTTTTTTTTTTTTTTGAGATGGAGTCTTGCTCTGTCGCCCAGGGTGGAGTGCAGTGGTGCAATCTCGGCTCACTGCAACCTCTGCCTCACGGATTCACACCATTCTCCTGCCTCAGCCTCCCAAGTAGCTGGACTACAGGCGCCTGCCACCATGCCCAGCTAATTTTTTGTATTTTTAGTAGAGACAGAGTTTCACTGTGTTAGCCAGGATGGTCTAGATCTCCTGACCTCGTGATCCATCTGCCTCGGCCTCCCAAAGTGCTGGGATTACAGGTGTGAGCCACCACACCCGGCCACTATTCCAGGCACTTTCTATGAACTTCATATTAACTCATTGAATCTTCACAACAAGCCTGTTAAATAGGTAATATTATTACCATCATTTCACAAATGAGAAATCCGAGGCCCAAAAAGATGAAGTATTACCAAGGTCATATAGCTGGTAAGTGACACAGCCAAGATTTAAGCACTTTAGTCTGCTTCAGAGTCTGTGCTTTTAACCAAAGGGTTTTACAGTTAGCACGCTCATTCTAGATGAATAAATTATTCCCTGGCATACTCTGTTCATAACACATGATAATAAGAATATTCTGACAGTTTTCACCTCATTTTAAACCACATTTTAATGAAGTAGAACTCTGATGTTTATATTCCTTTATATTCATTACCTTTATATTCATTACCTTTCTTCAAAAATAGAAGCAAAAGAATCTACACTACTCAAGGACTATTGCTATCATAGGATTAGCCTCCAGGGTTCAGAAACATCAGCTCCCCCATGTTGAATTAAGCCAGTAAGTGCACTGTTATTTTGATTAAAAATTTTTAGTTGAGACAATATTTAGGTTCAGATGCATCATAATTTAGAGTTAAGTTTGATGCAGACTATGTTTTAAACATGTGGGACACATTAAAAATAAGTTTGATTTAAGAAGTCAATAAAAGAACAGCAACTTTCTCTGAAAGGTCACTTTTTTGAAGATGGTTGAGTTTCGTTTGATCTAAATAGTTGCCAATATTCTGAGGTATAAATTTCATGGTTTAGGTCATTCAAGACAGAACTGGCAGACCTCGGAAAAAAATAAATATTTTTCCATTCCAACTATCTCTAAAAGGCAACACTGTTAGCATCACCACTTTGATTTTTTAGGCTTCAGAGGATATATCTCACATCTGTTTCATTAAGACAGGTCTAGATTCCCTGATTACTTCCAATTAATTATCATTCATTTCTTTGTTAAATTTTTCTTGTCCAGCTGCTATACAGCAGGAATGTGCTAAACACTGGAAATCCAAAATCAAATAAAATAAATCTGGTCTCTGCTCTCATGGAGTTTACAGTCTAGTGGTTTTCTCAGGATTACCTAGATATACACACTCCATATACCATCTGTAAGCTCAGAAAGTAAATAATTAAGCATGTAGGAATTTTATATAAAACACAGTGAGTAGGCTCTGAATCAGGACCTAAGCGTTTCCTATAAAATAAAACCCATGGGATTTATGATGCAAGTTTAAACACTGAGATGCTTATTTTGCATTCTTTTCAGAGTCATTGTTTTTATTTTATGTCACTATCATTTTGTAAGAAACAGTAACCTTTGCCGCATTCATAAATAAAAACCTTATTTCCTTTAACTATATTCTCAGAGAGTATGTTTGTTTGATTTTCAGTTTCTCTGCATTCGGTCCTGTCTTTTTCTAAGGCAGAAACCAAAGCAAGCGATAGATGAATGAATGCTGAAGCAGCATGCTATCAAGAGATTAGCATCTGGCAACTGGATGAGTTGAAACTAGTAGCTTTCTTGAGCTTCCTAGAATTGAGTTGCACTATGAGCCTAAGAGATTTTTGTTGAAAGAAATCTCACCAAATTTCCTGGCCCTGATAACATTTTAGTCAGGCCTAAAATATACTTCATTCTAACATTCAGTCTTTTGAAACAAACACCACAATAATAAAATAACAATAATAAACAATAATAAAAATAACAATAATAAAATAACAAAACGAAAGTATTGGCAACCTATGAACTCCTCAATACCAAAACTAAATGCAGCACTAAGCTAAACAAGCCTCTATGTTATCTAATGTTCTTTATAAACTCCCCGTGAGGGGTACACAGCAGGTGCTGTGGGGCAGCAGAGATTCTAGACAGAAACATGGTAGGGCTTTTGTTGCAGCTGCTATGCTAGTTACCAGAAGATCAATAAATGATTGGAGCACCTAACACAGTGAATGATTGCAGTGGCATTGAAATAATGATATAGGAAACTACTTAAAATGCATATATGCACTTGCTCTTTGGCTGTCAGGATCTCAAATTCAACATGCCTGGCACCTAAACAATTTCTGAATATTTTGCTTAAAAGAGTTACAAGGTTGATTGTTTTGGGTTTCTTACTTTGACATATAGATTTAGAGAAAAAGAAAAACAATTTAAATTTTTTGCCAATCAATTTAATCAGGTAATAAGTAAAAAATCCAGGAAGAGTTCATTTGCTCAGTGTTTATCCATTTAAATGAATTTTTTGACAGCTAATGTTTATTCTTTCTGGCATGAAAACTTTAAAAATTTTAATCATTTCAACTTCAACAAATGCTTTCAGAATTCTCATGTGCAATTCATTCTTTCTTAAACTCTGAATATTGAATGAAATTTCATCTTTTTCTTGACATAACAGTTTCAGTTACATATTTGCTCTTGCTCTAAATATGCCTTCAGTTATAATTATGGATTTTACAGCTTCTCCATCTTTCCAGAGTTGACAGGAAATGCCACACAACCTCACAGAACGAAAATCATTCAAATTTTCGTGTCCATACTTGTGCTCTCAACACTGATCAGCTGTCCTACTTTTTCTTGTTTAATCTTCCTTTGATTCTACATACAGAATGAAGAATTCCTTTCTGAGATTCCTTTCTTCTCTCTTTTAGATTCTCCACGGAGAATGCAAACTTTTACCCATGTCCTCAAGCTTCCAATTAAACTAGCCACTCTCACTTCCTTCATACTACCTAATACATTGAGAAAGGAGAACTACCATTTGTCCTAGCAATCCCATCACTGGGAAGATATCCAAACACAAATTATTCTACCATAAAGATACATGCACACAAATGTTCATTGCAGCACTATACACATAGCAGAGACATAGTATCAACCTAAATGCCCATCAATGACAGATTAAAGAAAAGATATATGCATACACATGGTGTATATGTATACTATCCCATATACGCCATGGAATACTATGCAGTCATGGAAAACTATGCAGTCATGGAAAAGAATGACATTATGTTTTTTTCAGGAACCTGGATGGAGCTGGAGGATGTTATCCTTAGCAAACTAACACAGGAACAGAAAGCCAAATACCTCATGTTCTCACTTATAAATGGAAGCTAAATGATAAGAACTTAGGAACACAAAGAAGGAACAGACACTGGGGTCTATCAGAAGGGAGGAGGGTGGGAAAAGGTAGAGGAGCAGAAAAGATAACTATTGGGTACTGGGCTTAATAGCTTGGTGATGAAATCATATGTACAACAAAACTTTGTGACACATGTTTACCTGTGTGACAAAACTTTACATGAACCCCCAATCCTAAAATAGAAGTTAAAATATAAAATAAATAAATAAATAAATAGAAAATTTGGCCAAGAGTCTTTCAAATCATTGTCCATTTTTTTTATTATACTTTAAGTTCCAGGGTACATGTGCAGAACGTGCAGGTTTGTTACGTAGTTATCTATGTGCCATGCTGGTTTGCTGCACCCATCAACTCATCATTTACATTAGGTATTTCTCCTAATGCTATCTCTCTCCCCTAGTCCCCCTCCCCCTGACAGGCCCCAGTGTGTGATGTTCCCCTCCCTGTGCCCACGTGTTCTCAATGTTCAATTCCCACCTATGAGTGAGAACATGCAGTGTTTGTTTTCTGTCCTTGTGACAGTTTGCTGAGAATGATGGTTTCCAACTTCATCCATGTCCCTACAAAGGACACGAACTCATCCTTTTTTTGGCTGCATAGTATTCCATGGGGTATATATGCCACAATTTCTTAATCCAGTCTATCACTGATGGACATTTGGGTTGGTTCCAAGTCTTTGCTATTGTGAGTAGTGCTGCAATAAACATACGTGTGCATGTGTCTTTATGGCAGCATGATTTATACTCCTTTGGGTTTATACCCAGTAATAGGATCGCTGGGTCAAATGGTATTTCTAGTTCTAGATCCTTGAGGAATCACCATACTGCCTTCCACAATGATTGAACTAATTAACACTCCCACCAACAGTGCAAAAGCGTTCCTATTTCTCCACATCCCCTCCAGCATCTGTTGTTTCCTGACTTTTTAATGATCTTCATTCTAACCGGTGTGAGATGGTATTCCATTGTGGTTTTGATTTGCATTTCTCTGATGATGAGCATTTTTTCACGTTTTTTGGCTTCATAAATGTCTTCTTTTGAGAAGTGTCTGTTCATATCCTTTGCCCACTTTTTGATGAGGTTGTTTGTTTTTTTCTTGTAAATTTGTTTAAGTTCTTTGTAGATTCTGGATATTAGCCCTTTGTTGGATGGGTACTATGCAAAAATTTTCTGCCATTCTATAGGTGGCCTGTTCACTCTGATGGTAGTTTCTTTTGTTGTGCAGAAGCTCTTTAGGTTAATTAGATCCCATTTGTCTATTTTGGCTTTTGTTGCCATTGCTTTTGGTGTTTTAGTCATGAAGTTTTTGCCCATGCCTATGTCCTGAATGGTATTGCCTAGGTTTTCTTCTAGGGTTTTTATGGTTTTAGGTTCAACATTAAAGTCTTTAATCCATCTTGAATTAATTTCTGTATAAGGTGTAAGAAAGGGATCCAGTTTCAGCTCTCTACATATGGCTAGCCAGTTTTCCCAGCACCATTTGTTAAGTAGGAAATCATTTCCCCATTTCTTGTTTTTGTCAGGTTTGTCAAAGATCAGATGGTTGTAGATGTGTATTATTATTTCTGAGGTCTCTGTTCTGTTCCACTGGTCTACATCTCTGTTTTGGTACCAGTACCATGCTGTTTTGGTTGCTATAGCCTTGTAGTATAGTTTGAAGTCAGGTAGCGTGATGCCTCCAGCTTTGTTCTTTTGGCTTAGGATTGTCTTGGCAATGCAGGTTTTTTTGGTTCCATATGAACTTTAAAGTAATTTTTTCCAATTCTGTGAAGAAAGTCATTGGTAGCTTGATGGGGGTGGCATTGAATCTATAAATTACCTTAGGCAGTATGGCCATTTTCACGATATTGATTCTTCCTACCCATGAGCATGGAATGTTCTTCCATTTGTTTGTGTCCTCTTTTATTTCATTGAACAGTGGTTTGTAGTTGTCCTTGATGAGGTCCTTCACATCCCTTATAAGTTGGATTCCTAGGTATTTTATTCTCTTTGAAGCAATTGTGAATGGGAGTTCACTCATGATTTCACTCTCTGTTTGTCTGTTATTGGTGTATAGGAATGCTTGTGATTTTTGCACATTGATTTTGTATCCTGAGACTTTGCTGAAGTTGCTTATCAGCTTAAGGAGATTTTGGGCTGAGACAATGGGGTTTTCTAAGTATACAATCATGTCATCTGCAAACAGGGACAATTTGACTTCCTCATTTCCTAACTGAATACCTTTTATTTCTTTCTCTTGCCTGATTACCCTGGCCAGAACTTCCAACACTATGTTGAATAGGAGTGGTAAGAGAGGGCATCCTTGTCTTATAGCACTTTTCAAAGGGAATGCTTCCAAATTTTGCCCATTCAGTATGATATTGGCTGCGTGTTTGTTATAAATAGCTCTTATTATTTTGAGATATGTTCAATCAATACCTAGTTTATTGAGAGTTTTTAGTATGAAGGGCTGTTGAATTTTGTCAAAAGCCTTTTTGGCATCTATTGAGATAATCATGTGGTTTTCTTCGCTGGTTCTGTTTATATGATGAATTACGTTTATTGATTTGTGTATGTTGAACCAGCCTTGTATCCCAGGGATGAAGCCAAGTTGATCGTGGTGGATAAGCTTTTTGACGTGCTGCTGGATTCGGTTTGACAGTATTTTATTGAGGATTTTTGCATCGATGTTCATCAGGGATATTGGTCTAAAATTCTGTTTTTTTGTTGTGTCTCTACCAGGTTTTGGTATCAGGATGATGCCGGCCTCATAAAATGAATTAGGGAGGATTCCCTCTTTCCTATTGGAATAGTTTCAGAAGGAATGGTACCAGCTCCTCTTTGTACCTCTGGTAGAATTCATCTGGTCCTGGCCTTTTTTTCATTGGTAGGCTATTAATTATTGCCTCAATTTCAGAGGCTGTTATTGGTCTATTCAGAGATTCAGCTTCTTCCTGGTTTACCCTTGGGAGGGTGTATGTGTCCAGGAATTTATCCATTTCTTCTAGATTTTCTAGTTTATTTGCATAGAGGTGTTTATAGTATTCTCTGATGGTAGTTTGTATTTTTGTGGGATCGGTGGTGTTATCCCTTTTATTATTTTTTATTGTGTCTATTTGATTCTTCTTTCTTTTCTTATTAGTCTTGCCAGCAGTCTATCGATTCTGTTGATCTTTTCGAAAAACAGCTCCTGGATTCATTGATTTTTTGAAGGGTTTTTTGTGTCTCTATCTCTTTCAGTTCTGCTCTGATCTTAGTTATGTCTTGCCTTCTGCTAGCTTTTGAATTTGTTTGCTCTTGCGTCTCTAGTTCTTTTAATTGTAATGTTAGGGTGTCGATTTTAGATCTTTCCTGCTTTCTCTTGTGGGCATTTAGTGCTATAAGTTTCCCTCTACACACTGCTTTAAATGTGTCCCAGAGATTCTGGTACATTTTGTCTTTTTTCTCATTGGTTTCAAAGAACATCTTTTTTCCTGCCTTCATTTTTTTATGTACCCAGTAGTCATTCAGGGGCAGGTTGCTCAGTTTCCATGTAGTTGAGCAGTTTTGAATGAGTTTCTTAATCCTGAATTCTAATTTGATTGCACTGTGGTCTGAGACACAGTTTGTTGTGGTTTCTGTTCTTTTACAGAATGTATATTCTGTTGATTTTGGCATGGAGAGTTCTGTAGATGTCTATTAGGTCCACTTGGTGCAGAGTTGAGTTCAAGTCCTGTATATCCTTGTTAACCTTCTGTCTCGTTGATTTTTCTAATATTGACAGTAGGGTGTTAAAGTTTCCCATTATTATTGTGTGGGAGTCTAAGTCTCTTTGTAGGTCTCTAAGGACTTGCTTTATGAATCTGGGTGCTCCTGTATTGGGTGCATATATATTTAGGATAGTTAGCTCTTCTTGTTGAATTGATCCCTTTACCATTATGTAATGGCCTTCATTGTCTCTATTGATCTTTGTTGGTTTAAAGTCTGGTTTATCAGAGACTAGGTTTGCAACCCCTGCTTTTTTTTTGCTTTCCATTTGCTTGGTAGATCTTCCTCCATCCCTTTATTTTGAGCCTGTGTGTGTCTCTGCATGTGAGATGAGTCTCCTGAATACAACACACTGATGGGTCTTGACTCTTTATCAAATTTGCCAGTCTGTGTCTTGTACTTGTGGCATTTAGCCCATTTACATTTAAGGTTAATATTGTTATGTGTGAATTTGATCTTGTCATTATGACGTTAGCTGGTTATTTTGCCCATTATTTCATGCAATTTCTTCATAGAATTGATGGTCTCTATAATTTGGCATGTTTTTGCAGTGGCTGGTACCGGTTGTTCCTTTCCATGTTTACTGCTTCCTTCAGGAGCTCTTGTAAGGCAGGCCTGGTGGTGACAAAATCTGTCAGCATTCGCTTGTCGGTAAAGGATTTTATTTCTCCTTCACTTATGAAGCTTAGTTTGGCTGGAGATGAAATTCTGGGTTGAAAATTCTTTTGGTTAAGAATGTTGAATATTGGCCTCCACTCTCTTCTGGCTTATAAAGTTTCTGCCAAGAGTTCCACTGTTAGTCTGATGGGCTACCATTTGTGGGTAACCCGACCTTTCTCTCTGGCTGCCCTTAACATTTATTCCTTGATTTCATCTTGGTGAATCTGATGATTATGTGTCTTGGGACTGCTCATCTCAAGGAGTATCTTTGTGGTGTTCTCTGTATTTCCTGAATTTGAATGTTGGTCTGCCTTGCTAGTTGGAGAAGTTCTCCTGGATAATATCCTCAAAAGTGTTTTCCAACTTGGTTCCTTTCTCCCCGTCACTTTCAGGTACAACAATCAAACATAGATTTGGTCTTTTCACATGGCCCCATATTTCTTGGAGGATTTGTTTGTTTCCTTTTACTCTTTTTTCTCCAATCTTGTCATCTTGCTTTATGTCATTAATTTGATTTTCAGTCACTGATATCCTTTCTTCCACTTGATCGAATCAGCTATTGAAGTTTGTGCATGTGTCACGAAGTTCTTGTGCCATGGTTTTCAGCTCCATCAGGTCATTTAAGGTCTTCTCTACACTGTTTATTCTAGTTAGCCATTCACCTAACCTTTTTTCAAGGTTTTTAGCTTCCTTGCAATGGGTTAGAACATGCTCCTTTAGCTTGGAGAAATTTGTTATTACCAACCTTCTGAAGCCTACTTCTGTCAACTTGTCAAAGTCATTCTCTGTCCAGCTTTGTTCCATTGCTGGTGAGGAGCTGTGATCCTTTGGAGGAGAAGATGTGCTCTGTTTTTGGAATTTTCAGTTTTTCTGCTCTGCTTTCTCCCCATCTTTGTGGTTTTATCTACCTTTGGTCTTCGATGTTGGTGACCTACAGATGGGGTTTTGGTGTGGATGTCCTTTTTATTGATGTTGATGCTATTACTTTCTGTTTGTTAGTTTTCCTTCTAACAGTCAGGTCCCTCAGCTGCAGGGAACTGCTTGTCCCTGCTGGAGTTTGCTGGAGCTCCACTCCAGACCCTGTTTGCCTGGGTATCACCAGCAGAGGGTGCAGAACAGCAAATATTACAGAACAGCAAATATTTCTGCCTGATCCTTCCTCTGGAAGCTTCTTCCCAGAGGGGCACCTGTCTGCATGAGGTATCTGTTGGCCCCTACTGGGAGATGTCTCCCAGTTAGGCTACACGGGGGTCAGGGACCCACTTGAGGAGGCACTCTGTCCATTCTCAGAGCTCAAATGCCCTGCTGGGAGAACCACTGCTCTCTTCAGAACTGTCAGACAGGGACGTTGAAGTCTGCAGAAGCTTCTGCTGCCTTTTGTTCAGCTATGCCCTGCCCACAGATGTGGAGTCTACAGAGGCAGTAGGCATTACTGAGCTGTGGTGGGCTCCACCCAGTTTGAACTTCCTGGCAGCTTTGTTTACCTAGTCAAGCCTCAGCAATTGCAGACTCCCCTCCCGCCAGCAGGCTGCTGCCTTGCAGGTCGATCTCAGACTGCTGCACTGACAGTGAGCAAGGTTCCATGGGGGCGGTACCCACCAAGCCAGGCACAGGAGGGCATCTCCTGGTCTGCCAGTTGCTAAGATCATGGGAAAAGTGCAGTATTTGGGCGGGAGTGTCCAGTTTTTCCAGGAACAGTCTGTCACCACTTCCCTTGGCTATGAAAGGGGAATCCCCCGACCCCTTGCACCTCCCAGGTGAGGTGACACCCCAACCTGCTTTGGCTCACCCTCCATGGGCTGCACCCACTGTCCAACCAGTCCCAGTGAGATGAACCAGGTGCTTCCATTGGAAATGCAGACATCACCTGTCTTCTGTGTCGATCACACTGGGAGCTGCACACCGGAGCTGTTCTTATTCGGTCATCTTGGAACGGAGATCATTCCTGTCCATTTTTAATTTAACATTTCAATTTCAGCTTCCCTTCCTCCAGGAATGAATGGGTCGTCTCCCTCCAGTCTCTACTCCTGATCCTCTCTCTTCTGGTCTACTCCAAGATTCCCATCAATTATTCCCCAGGCTCTTCCTTATCAAATATGTGTTCCTCTTGACCTATAATCATGCTTCAGTCTATTTTGTCTTTAAAAAACAACACAAAGTAAAGCAAACAATAATGCCATGCAGCATTTCTAACTCTACTATTTGTTTTTCATGCTACTTCTCACTCATGATATCTTGTTTCATCAGTTTTATAGTTTGGAATTTAGAGTTCAGTTAATCTAAATGTATGGAAATATTGAGGGAGTCTGAGTTAAATGTAGATATTTCTAAAGAGTAATTTTATTCTCTTCTGCCAAATACTCATGATCACATTAAATTAATTTTTAGATTTATGAGTATAAAAATACAAATAACAATTCCATATAAGCCAGGGCTATATCTAGGAACTCTTAAGAAATACATTATATTTGTCCTACCTAGAGTCAGGGCCAAGAACAAACAAATAACTTTGTCATGTGTCTTTGCTGGTGGGTAGACTTCTTTTTTTCCTGGTTTGTCTTTTCACTGTGAAAATATCCCTTTGGGCCGGGCACAGTGGGACACGCCTGTAATCCCAGCACTTTGGGAAGCCAAGGCGGGCAGATCACAAGGTCAGGAGATTGAGACCATCCTGGCCAACACGGTGAAACCCTGTTTCTACTAAAAATACAAAAATTAGCTGGGCATGGTAGTGCATGCCTGTAATCCCAGCTACTTGGGAGGCTGAGGCAGGAGAATCACTTGAACCAGGGAGTCAGAGGTTGCAGTGAGCCAAGATCATGCCACTGCACTCCAACCTGGTGACAGAGCAAGACTCTATAAAAAAAATCCCTTTGAAGGAAATGACTATATAAACCACCTTAGGTAGGCACAAGGTATTACTGAATCATGAAAACACAAGTCTCTTGGCATCATAAAATACTGTCATGCAGTCACAAGTCTGGTATTGGCTTACCATACCAAATTCCTTCTTTTTAAAAATTTTCAGACAATAGGGAATTCCCTTGTGAATTTAAAGAATTTGTTGAATTATATATAGCACATCTCACAGTAGGTGATCTAGTTTTTTATGTTGCTGGAAACAGAAATCTCCATGTTTCTTTATCAGTAGAGATGGGTGTACTATCTGTCAAGATAATGCTGTAATGAATAACTGTGATTACAGAGAGCTCCAAAATACCAAGTTTCATATCCTGTAAGATATTTATATTTTAATTTTAATTCATTTTCTGGTAGAAAAAAATTAATCCAAGATTCTTTACCATTTATATTAAAACAACAGGTTAAAAAAAACTATGTCACACAGTTAACTATGAAAATTATATTTAACACAGTTTCCATTTCAGAGAGATGAGAAAATTAAGCCTTAAAAAATGCAAGCAAATTGCTTAAGGCCATAAAAAATTAAGGGATAGAACTAATATGTGCATTTAGAGTTCCTTTTTTAAAAACCCACAGTAAACAATACGATTATATCCTCTGACCTCCAATAACACGAATATTGACCAGACAGTATAAAGTAGCTATCTTTAGAATAAAAATAGAAGACCTACAAAAGAAACCAAGACATAATAAAAGAGGAAGAATCTATTAAAAAAAGAAGAAAAATTTTAAAATAATAGAATGGAACTTATAGCTGTGAATATCTTGCAATTGCTCCTGACTTCCAGTAATTGCAAACAAAGTAAATCAGATCAAGCTTCAGGCTCAGAGCAACTATTAATACTTGCAAAATATTTTTTTAAAAATCTGTTCTATGTCATTTGAACATTAAAGAGGCAGGGGTGAATTAAAAGATCAAGATATTTAGGGGAGAAAATGAAAAAGACAGAAGAGTTCTGCAACTGGTGCCATTTTTTTTTTCTGTCCACGCTCATATCAGAAGAGGCACCTGAGAGAATCAGGAGCTTTGCAAAACTTTGAACAGATTCATGGTGCCAAGGGAACAAAAATTGGAGTTCATTGCCTGCCTAGGACAGGCAAGTGGCAAACATCTGGGGCTTTGAGACCACAAAGAAATATACTCTAGAAATCCGTGTTTATGATTTTTTAAGTGGGCTTTTATAAGCCTTGATTATATCAAGGTGATCTGGAATTACTAGCCACCTACTAGAAAAAAATATATAAATCCTCTTTGGTGGAAGATATTACACACTTAAATTATCTCTACTACTTTGTATAAAATGGGTAGTTTATATTAAAAAATAATTAGAATAACAAGGAGACAAGACAACATGATCACAACCAAGAGAAAAACAGATATCAGAAACAGACAAGAGAAAATTCAAAATTATAAAGTTATTAGAAATAGATGTTAATATAGTCAAGGAAATAAAAGACATAATTTAAAATATTGTCAGATAGCTAAAAATGTAAAGAACAATCCAATGAAAATTCTAGATATGAAAAAATGCAATTACTGAAAAAATACTCAATATATGGGTTAACAGTAAATTAGTCATAGATGAAAAAAGAATAAATCACCTGGTAAATTGGTCAGAAGAAAATACCCAGGATGAAGTATAAAGAGACAAAAAGAAGGAAAAATAGAGAAAATTACATAGGAAAGACATCGGGGATCCAATTAAAAGTTCCAACAAATGTGTAAGTGGAGTCCCAGAAGAAAAGGAGAGAAAAATGGAGCAGAAAGATAGTTGAAGAGAGTATGGCTATGGATTTTTCACAACTGGAAAAAGAGATTAAGCTGCAGATTCAGATAGTATTAGGAATCCCAAAAAAGGATATATACAAAGAAAGCTACACATAGCACATTATAGTGAAATCAATGAAAAACAAAGAAAAATTAGAAAATCATAAGATCATCTATAGGGAAGGAAAAGAGACTACCTTGATGGGAATCATAATCAGAATCATAATTGCCTTTTCAATAAAAACTACGAAGCCAGAAGACACTGAAATGTATTTTCAAAGTACCAAAAGAAAATAACTGCCAATCTAAAATTCTATAGTCAATGAAAATGTCTTTGAGGAACAAAGTCAAACTAGGATATTTGCAGACCACAACAATAGCATCTGTTGTCAGTAGACCCACTGACATTGCTGGTAGATTCCTCTAATGGAAATATTAAAGGAATGATTACCTCTAGATAGAAAGAAAGCCATAGTGATTGGAAGATGGCATGAGGGAGCTTCTTGGCAATGACAGAATTTTATTGACCTAGTTGCAGCATGTGTTTACTTTGTAATAGTTTGTTGAGATTCACCCTTGTGACTTGTGCACTTTGTGTGGATGAGTTAAACAAAACTATAAATGAACTGGATGTGATCTGAACAAAATATCCAGAGAGCAACAGGAGGAAATAAACAGATGGATAAAATGAAGGACAGATTTAAAGACACCATGGCTAGAAAGTCCAGTAACAGTTACAAAAGGGAAGAATTGAGAAAATGAAGGAGGCACAGTATTCAAAGAGATAATGGCTGGGAAAATAAAAGAAAAGCCAGAAAACTCTCTAAAGTGCTGAAAAAAATAGTCATCAATCTAGAATTCTATACCACGCCAATTTACCCATCCAAATAAGAGTGAAATAAAGACATTTGCACTCATTCATTCATTCACACAGTTTGTTGTTGTTCAACAATTCTTATTGAGCACTTACACTGTCTAGGCATAGGGACTACCATTAACAAAAGCAATTTAAGTCCCCATTCTCAGAATTCTAGAGGTCGGAGCCTGAAATGGAGCTCATGGGATTAAAACAAGGGTGTCAGCAGGGCTGATTTCTTCTTCTTTTTTTTTTTTTTTTTTTTTTTTTTTGAGATGGAGTCTCGCTCTGTTGCCCAGGCTGGAGTGCAGTGGCACGATCTCGGCTCACTGCAAGCTCCACCTCCCGGGTTCACGCCATTCTCCTGCCTCAGCCTCCCGAGTAGCTGGGATTACAGGCACCCGCCACCGTGCCCGGCTAATTTTTTCTATTTTTTTGGTAGAGACGGGGTTTCACCGTGTTAGCCAGGATGGCCTCGATCTCCTGACCTCGTGATCCGCCCGCCTCAGCCTCCCAAAGTGTTGGGATTACAGGCATGAGCCACCACGCCCAGCCAGGGCTGATTTCTTTTGGAGTCTCCAGGAGGAGTCTGTTCCTTGATCCTTCCAGCTTTTAGACTTAGTATTCATTGAACTGTGGCCACATCACTACATGCTCTGCTTGCTTCAGTCATCGATTGCTTTCTCTCCAACTCTGACTTCTCCTGCATCCCTTTTATAAGGATCACTGTGATTACATTGAGACCACTCAGATAATTGAGAATAATCTCCCCATCTCAACACATTTAACTTAATCACACCTGCAAATTTTATTTTGTCATATAAGGTAACATTCACAGGTTCTGAGTATTAGGATATGGACATCCTTGGGGGACAATTATTCAACCTGCCACAATATGTACGCATTTCTGTTGGATTTTACCTAGGGGTATAAGCTGTTTATTATGTTCAGCATTAGTTGATGATACCAAATAATGTTTCCAAATTGTTGTATTTACTTATATTTCCACCAGCAGTGTTTCACATACTCATCAATACTTGTTACTGTCAGTCTTTTTAATTTTAGCCATTCTGGTAGATTTGATGCTGGACAAATATAGACTATAATAGTTTTACTACTAATAGCCTTTTGCAGAAAAAACTACTAACAAGTCCACCTTAGTTTTTTACAATGAAAAAATAAAACCAAGAAAGAAAGAAATAGTAGATGAAAAATAAAACATAGAGGAAAATAGATGTTAAACTTTGGATAAATTTACAATGAATTTGGGGAGTAAAAAATAATAGAATAAAGTTTAAAAATTATTTAAGTGGAAAGGGTAAAGTTTTCTAAGATCCTTACATTGTTTAAGAGGAGAGTAGATAAAGCCTAATGAAAAAATAAGAGGAAGAAACTAACTTTGCCAGGACTGAAGAAGAAGGAAAGGGTATTTCAGAAAGGTAAAACATTCTTTGCAAATATTCCGTGCCCTGAAAGAATCTGGCATATTTCCAGAAGGGCAACAATGTGGCATGTGGCTGAATGCCAGCCTTCATGAAGGGTGCTGAGGAGATTAGGCTGCAATCGGGACACTAATTTGGGGATAGATTGGGTTGGGCTATTTCAGGAGATTTTTAGGAGTCTATACTTCATTTATTTGACCACTAGTCATTAACATTTTAGAACACACAAAACATTTTAAATGATTTTAAAAGCACAAATGGCATCACTTGAATTACATTCAATATAATTATGGTTTTAATATAAATATAAAATGTAAACTGGAATCCTCAAAACAGTTAAATAGCAATTGTAATAATCCATGTATAAAGTGGCAATTTAATATTTCACCTCAAGGCACTGTGCTATATATATCTGTCGGTATAAAAATTAATGACATTGGCTGGGCACGATGGCTCATACCTGTAATCCCAGCACTTTGGGAGGCCAAGGCGGGCAGCTCACCTGAGGTCAGGAGTTCGAGACCAGCCTGATCAACATGGAGAAACCCTGTCTCTACTAAAAATACAAAATTAGCCAGGCGTGGTGGCACATGCCTGTAATCCCAGCTACTCAGGAGGCCAAGGCAGGAGAATCGCTTGAATCTGGGAGGTGGAGGTTGCAGTGAGCTGAGATCTCGCCATTGCACCCCAGCCTGGGCAACAACAGAGAACTCCATCTAAAAACAAAACAAAAACAAACAAACAAAACTAATACATTGTACCTAAACACAAGTAACACGTAAGTCAAGTTGCTGGTGGTTGCAAAGAGAAGGAAAAGGAAGTGAAGGATGTCAGATATTAGAGGCAAAGAACCTTTGGGATTCAGGAAGTACTAGGAGATTCCCCTGGTGGTTGGTTCTCCTGCATACCTAGCTCCTCCCCAACACACACACACACACACACACACACACACACACACACACACACACACGATGTCAGTTTCCATTATTTGGCTCGTATGTTATTGAACAAATATCTTCAGGAAAAAAAAGAAGTGTGGATTTAGAACATGATTTCATGCTGCCTGTTGAGAGTATTTCTCTCTCTGTCTGTCTCTCTCTCTTTAAAGAAAAGATCTCACTCTGTCACCCAGGCTGGAGTGCAATGGGCTGATCATGGCTCACTGTAGCCTTGAACCCTTGGGCTCAAGCAATCCTCCCACCTTAGCCTCCTGTAGCTACGACTACAGGCACGTGCTACCATATCCATATCCAGCTAGGTTTTTTTGTTTTTTGTTTTGTTTTGTTTTGTTTTTTGTAGAGTTGGGGGTCTCACACTTTTGCCCAGGCTTGTCTTGAACTCCTGGCCTTAAGCAATCTTCACTCCTTGCTCTCTCAAAGTGCTAGGATTACAGGTCTGAGCCAATGTACCTGGCCTTCCTTTTTCTTTAAGATGTTAAGGTATCAAATTTCTGAAACCAATCCCATAAATAATTAGTAATAATCTAAGACTTCTAAAGATGTTTTTATTGCATGTTGTTTTTTCTACCAAATTATCCAAAGAAAGCTGTCATAGACAGAAGTTAAATGTATCAACCCCCTATACCCTTATTATGACTTTTCCTGGTACAGTTATAGACTTGAATCTCAATTCTGCCTCTGGTATTGGAATCACGGGCTCAGATAGAACCACTGAATCTTTTTCCCGCCATATTCCTATCTATTGTTGCATGTATGATTTGTTTGAAAAATGACTGTCTCATATTGCAAAAGAGCACAGATGTGCCTCCTCTTTCTCAGTTATAATGATGAAAATCCCCAGTAAGCAATTATTTTGTGAATGAATTTTATAGAATGCCAATTCATGCTGCAAAACTAATTCGTCCTTCTGTTAACAACAAGCATCACCCAAATGTCCCCCCACCTGCCAGAATAAGTACTATGACAAATACAAGATTTTAAAAAAGCAACATGCTTACCAAGTTCTGAAGAAGTATTCAATCATAGCAGTATTACAGATTTTCATGAGGAAAATCCATTAGGCTTTAATATGTTGCAGTATATAACAATCTAGAACATTATACTTTTACAGTATTTCAAAGAAGCAATCTTGTTATACAGTTGTTTCCATTTTAGAAAAAGCAATTGGAAATTTCTAACTTAACTTATGAAACATTATGCGTACCTTAAGGAGTTCATTATGTCATTATTGGCCCTTTGTTTCCTGATTCATTATTTATAACTAAATGCTGAAAGATATAAAAGAAGAAGCTTTACAGTTGGTTGGTATAAATGGTCAAAAGTTTTTTTAAAAACTCAATGTTTTCTATTATATTTAGGATTTGGTCTAAACTCTGAGTTTTCTAACAAATAAAAAATCAGAAAAGTTCTTGATGCATTATTACATACAAAATGAATAGTCTGTAATTACTTTACCTACAATATCACCACCATCACCTCCACCAAGATAATCAGTGTATGAACATCCTTACTTTTCTACCCCATGTCTGAAAGGAAGAAATTTATTTTCTGATATCCAAGCTCAATCCATCTATATTAGTTCTCTGTGGCTGCTGTAACAAATGACCACACACTTGGTGGCTTAAAACAACAGAAATTTCTTCTTTCCTTGCCTCTTTCAGCTTCTGGGGGTGCCCAGTGTTCTCTGGCTTGAGGCAACATCATATCACCTTCTCCTCTTCTGTGTATCTGTCCTCTCTGTGTCTGTCTCACAACTGTCTCTCCTTCCTTATAAGGATACATGTGATTGTATTTAGGACTGACTCAGATAATCCAGGATAAACATTTCCTCTCAGAGCCTTGACTTTATCCCATCCTTTATAATATAAGGTAAAAATCACAAGTTTTGGGAATTTGACATGGAGGTCTTTTGGTGCTTTTTTTCTTTTTGAGACAGGATCTGGCTCCGTCATCCAGGCTGGAGTGCATGGGACAATCTTGGCTCACTGCAACCTCCGCCACCTGGGCTCAAGCCATCCTCCCACCTCAGCCTCCCAAGTAGCTGGGGCTACAGGCATACAACATCACACTTCACTAATATTTGTATTTTTTGTAGAGACAGGATTCACCATGTTGCTGAGGCTAGTCTCAAACTCCTGAGTTCAAGCAATCCACTCACCTTGGCCACCGAAAGTACTGTGATTACAGGCATGAGCCACCATGCTCAGCCTGATGCTATTGTTTGGCCCACCATACTGATATGGTTTGGATTCATATCCCCACCCAAATCTCATGTTGAATTGCAATCCCCAGTGTTGGAGGCGGGGCCTGGTGGAAGGTGATTTGATCATGGGGCTAGATTTTCCCCTTGCTATTCTCATGATAGTGAGTGAGTTCTCACAAGATCTGGTTGTTTAAAAGTCTGTAGCACCTCACACTTCCCTCTCTCTTCCCCCTGCTTCAGCCACGTGAGACGTGCCTCCTTCCTCTTCACCTTCTGCCATGCTTGTGAATTTCCTGAGGCCTCCCAAGCCATGCTTCTGGTACAGCCTGCAGAACTCTGAGCCAATTAAATCTCTTTTCTTTATAAATTAGTCAGTCTCAGGTAGTTCTTTATAGCAAGAATGGACTAATACTGAATATTGGTACCAGAGAAGTGGGGCATTGCTACAAAGATACCTGAAAATGTGGAAGCGATTTTGGAACTGGGTAATGGGCAGATGTTGGAACAATTTGAAGGGCTCAGAAGAAGACAAGAAGATGAGGGAAAGTTTCGAACTTCCTAGAGACTTGTTAAATTGTTGTTAACAATGAAGTCCAGGCTGAGGTAGTGTCAGATGGAGATAAGAAATTTATCGAGAACTGGAGTAAAGGTTACTTTTGCTATGCTGTGGCAAAGACTGGTGGCATTGTGCCCCTGCTGTAGGGATCTGTGGAACTTTGAACTTGAGAGAGATGATTTAGGGTATCTGGTGGAAGAAATTTCTAAGCAGTAAAGTGTTCAAGAAGTATCCTGGCTGCTTCTAACTGCATATGCTTATATTCATGAGCAAAGAGATGGTCTGAAATTGGAACATATATTTAAAAGGGAAATAGAGCATAAACGTTTTGAAAATTTGTAATGTGGCCAAGTGGTAGAAAACAAAAACCCATTTTCAGGGGAGTAATTCAAGCTGGCTGCAGAAATTTGCAAAAGTAAAGAGGAGCCTAATGTTAGTAGCCAAGACAATGGGGAAAATGCCTGGAAGGCATTTCAGAGAGCTTAATGGCAGCCCCTCCCATCACATGCCCAGAGGCCTAGGAACAAAGAATGGTTTTGTAGACCAGGCTATGGCCTTGCTGCCCTGAGCAACCTTGGGAGACTTCTCCCTGTGTCCCAGCCACTCCAGCTCCAGTCATGGCTAAAAGGGCCCCAGATATGGATCAGGCTGCTGCTTCAGAGGGTGCAAGCTGTAAGCCTTGGTGGCTTCCATGTGGTGCTAAGACTGTGGGTGCACAGAGGGTAAGAGTTAAGGCTTTGGAGCCTCTGCCCAGATTTCATAGAATATATGAAAACACCTCAATATCCAGGCAGAAGTCTGCTGCCTGGATGGAACCCTCATGGAGAATCTCTACTACAGCAGTGCAGAGGAGAAATGTAGCGTTGGAGGCCCCACACAAAAGTCTCCACTGGGCACTGCCTAGTGGAGCTGTGAGAAGAGGGCCACCGTCCTCCAGACCCCAGAATGGTATATCCACCAACAGCTTGTACTATGTGCCTGGAAAAGCCACAGGCACTCAACACCATCCTGTAAAAGCAGCTGAGGGGACTGTACCCAGCAAAGCTACAGAGGTGGAGATGTCCAAGGCCTTGGGAGTCCACCCCTTGTATCAGTGTGGCCTGGATGTGAGATATGGAGCCAAAGGAGATTATTTCGGAGCTTTAAGATTTAATGACTGCCCTTCTGGGTATTGGACTTGCATGGGGCCTGTAGTGCCTTCGTTTTGGCTGATTTCTCCCTCTTGGAGTGGGTATATATACCCAATGCCTGTACTCCCATTGTGTCCTGGAAGTAACTAACTCGCTTTCAATTTTACAGGATCATAGACAGAAGGGAATGCCTTGTCTCAGATGAGACTTTGGATTGTGGACTTTTGAGTTAATGCTGAAATGAATTAAGACTTAGGGGACTGTTGAGAAGGGAGGATTGTATTTTGCAATGTGAGAAGGACAAGGGATTTGGGAGGGGCCGGGGTGGAATAATATGGTTTGGATTTTTGTCCCCACCCAAATCTCATGTTGAATTGTAATCCCCAGTGTTGGAGGTGGGGCCTGGTGGGAGGTGACTGGATCATGGAGGAAGATTTCCCCCTTTATACTCTTGTGGTAGTGAGTAAGTTCTCAAGAGACCTGGTTGTTTAAAAGTCCATAGCACCTCCCCTTTCCCTCTTTCTTCCCCCTGCTTTAGCCATGTGAGATGGGCCTCCTTCCTCTTCACCTCTGCCATGCTTGTAAGTTTCCTGAGGCCTCTCAAGCCATGCTTTCTGTACAGCCTGCAAAACTCTGACCAATTAAATCTCTTTTCTTTATAAATTACTCAGTCTCAAGCAGTTCTTTATATCAATGCAAGAATCGACTAATACACACACCACCTATCTATGACTTTGCCCCATACTTTTCTGCCCCGATATTTTCTTGCTCTGATCCCCACCACTCCTCCACCTCCCTTTTCCTTTTCCTTGTATCTTTGATTGCTCACCTTTCAACAGTTCTTTCCCCTCATCACAGAATCATATGAGTTTGCTAGGGCTACTGTAACCAAGTACCACAGACCAAGTAGCTTAAACAACAGAAACGTATTTTCTTATGATTCTGGAGGCCAGAATCCAAGATCCAGGTGTTGGCAGGCTTTGCTTTCTTCTGAGGCCTTACTCACTTCTTGGCTTACAGATAGCTTTCTTCTCCCTGTATTTTCACATGGTCTTCCTTCTGTAGGTGTCTGTGTCTTAAGCACACCTTTTTATAAGGACAACAGGCATATTGGATTAGAGTACCCTAATGACCTCATTTTAACCTACTTACTGTTTAAAAACGCTATCTACAAATACAGTCACATTTTAAGGTACAGGGAGTTAGGACTTCAGCATATACATTTGGAAGGACAGAATTCCATCTATAACACATAACATTCTTACCCCTTCTGGAAAAAAAAATCATCTAAGGAGCTACTACTTCAAACTACCAGCTATATCAGGTATTCACTATGCATCAAATGATCTGTGCTCCCCAACATTTCTCAGCTCTCTTGGTATAAGGTGAAGCCCTGGTACTAACTTTAGGTTGGCAGTACTACATTTTTAATGGACCAGGAGGGGCTTATACTATGAAAACATGGACGTAAAAAAGAAAGGTAGTTTCACTTTAGAATCACAGTCTGATAATATTGGCAACAAATGGATTATACTTTTGTTTTCGCAAAAGTTAACTGATATAATATTCTCAGCAGCACTTTGTTCTCATGCCTCTTTAACTTTCATTAATGAAGACTATAAGAAACAGCTTTATAAAGTCAATTAGGAAATGTACTATAAGAAAATTATTTTGCATATCTCCAAAACTCTTTGCTTCCTCAGAGTACTCCATTTAACATTTTGGTCAATGATCTTTTAACTGATATATTTGTTTGGCTGGTTTTTGTTTTTGTTCATTTGTATTGCCTAAAGCCATGAGTGGGGGTGCATATTTTACAAGTACAATATAATGTAACCTCAATGAGATAACAACTGGGGCAATTGTAGTCATCCATGCATTTCCTATGTCTAGAACAGGTGCTCAGTAAACACATTAGCAAAATAATGAGCCAACTTTATAGTACTATATGGTCTGAATATCTGCATTGTTATTTTTTCCTAATCTTGATTTCCTTTTCTTTCTTATATTTTTCTATACCTAATTATTTTATATGTGTCCTTGATAGAATAATTATATATCAATAAACAATTTGAAAATATATTTAATAAACATTTAACTGAATGAATTATCTGAATTGATATATATAGTGTCTGAAATTTTTTGTGAATGAGGCAATGCCAGGGAGAGTCCTAGCAGGAGACTTTCTGCATTCACCTTACATCAAGTCAGCAGTCATCACAGAATTGGTTACAGCAGCAGTTTTCAAAGTGCCAATCAGGAAATTCTCCAAAATCTTTCAGGGGATCTGTGAGATTAAATATTATTTAAGTAAACAGGCATTTACTATTTTCATTTTCAATAACTATTTTAACATTTTTCCATTTTAATTTAAATATGATAAATCTTGAAAGTTATAGCCATATAAACAAAAGCCCTTTGGGAGGTCTTCAGAAGGTTTAAGACAGTAAGTTTCTCAAGATCAAAGTGTGGGAATCAATGGGTTAAAAGAAGGCACTCATGCCTCTATGTTGTACAAAAACAAATACTTTCCTTTTCACTATTCTATTGGGTCACTAATCATAGGAAAGACCCGTATTGTCACAATTAGGTACCACTGTGAAACTCTAAAAAACCACTCTATAGAATGAGAGAAATCTGAGTAATGGCTACCCAAATAAACAATTTATAGATCTAAGGACCCAGTCCCAATGTATGTTTTCTTTTTTACTTCCATCCTACATCTACCTTAAGTCCAAACCAGAATTATCCACTCTGCATTACTGGCTCCTGGGAAATTAGGATCTCTCTCTGTCTTAGATTCCTGTCATACTCCATCAGTGACCCTTAGATTTCTGATGCCACTGCTCAGAGGTCTTTTTATGAGGCTGTTTTTTGGGGCGGTGGGGGGTGTTGGCCTTAATCTGGAATGGCAACTGTATTTCTCATCAAGTGCCAACTCTGACATATTAATAGCAGCTGTCTGAAACATTGTTTGAGAAGGATTCTGAAGCTGTTTCCTGGCTTAGCAAGACAAACGCCATAATTGATTAGTGGTCTACTGTGGGTACAAGAAGGAAGAGTGTTAGCTTATGTGCTGTGTATTTGCTGACCCTGTGAAATCAACTGGAATTGCTATGATCAAACAGATGTAGAGCAAGACCACAAATGCCTACTCCATGCAAAAAATTACATAGAAATATAACTACTCTGATGTGTAATAATGAGTATCAGCAATAATCACTTCTTCATAAACAAACTCCATCTGCTTAAAATATAAGCATAAATTTTGTGATTCAAAAAGCAAATAAATACATAAGAACATAAGAATTGCCTTGAAAGTTTGTAATAACAGAGCCTGTATATCTATGTATCTAAGTACCTGAAGACGCTTTTAACCTTCACGTGAACTAGGATAGATGCCATCTATCCTTGATTTTGCCTCTTTTAGGAACTTGGCCAGACTTTCTTGCAGACACAATCTTCTCAGAACAGAATCCAGGCAGGTGAATTTTAGGGATGCCAACTGTGGCTTTTGACAAATTCCAGATGTCACTACTGTGGCTATAGTGTGGCATCTGCTAAAAGTATTCCATTTCTTTACAAGATATCATCTTACTGGCATAATCAACGCGTAAGGAAGAAGACGGGGAGGTGAAAGAGAAGGAGAATAAGGAGGAGAAGGAAATTGTGAAAGCAGGAGGAGGACATGGGGAAAGAAGAAATAGGAGATGAAGAAAAGAAAAGGTGTAAGAAATAAAGAAGGATGCAAGTCGTTTCTGGAGATTTGAGCCAGTCTGCGTTTCTCCTTGCTTGGCAGAAAGCATAGATATAACTGTATATTTCCTGAGAATGTATTCTTGTGACTATTTGCTCTACAGTGACACACCACTGTTTAGCAGTGATACAAGCTGGCAATATATCCCTTTAAATCACATTCTGTTGATGAAATAGAAGAACTTTCAGCTTATTTGAGAATGGAACCCAAGCACTGACAAGAACACTCACTGGTTCCTTTGTGAATTTGCCTTTTTGTCATTTTGCCTGAGAGTTATACTGTGAAGAAGTAGACACAGGAAAGCAAGAGATGCCTGGGGCTGATAAATCTGGCTCTAAATACAATATTGTGAAGAGATTGAAACAAAAGAAAAACAGAACCAGAAAAGACTCATATAGAATTTGTTTTCTTGGGAACAAAAGAATACTTAGTGCTTACAAACAAATAAATATATTTGCAGCACAATATTCACAAAAATGTGGCTCTAAGGAATTCTGACAATATAATCACAAGTAACATTAATGAGAAATAAGTGGGGCAGAAATATATATAAATGGAGAATTTTATAGTTTACAAAGCATTTATAAGCATTTGACTTCATTCGTCAGCCTACAAACATGATGTAGAAATGATAAAACAATACAAAGCAGAAATGATGCTAGTTATTGCTTTACTGCTGCAGGGCAAAGGTCACAGTGAGAATAACCTTGCTCCCTACACCCCGACAAAACCTAAAAATATCAAAAGGGATGTTTAAACCTTGCTTTAAAGTAAGAAGAAAAAGAAACATACAGGAAAGCAGGAAACATTCTAAAACAAATGATTAAATGAATGGCTTTGTAGGATTTAGATTAAGAAAATGATGATTATTAGGAATCAGTATGAATTCCTTAAGAGTAAGTCTTGAAAAATTACTCCCTATAAAACTGATAGATTTGAATTCTATAATTCCACAAGCAAGGCAGCATTCTGTGATCTTCCCCTGGGACAAAAAGAGAAATACGGTATTTAAGACAATCAAACTCTAAGTTATATATTAACTCTCTTCTATAAAATAAATAAATCACACCGTTAAATGTTCTGTCTCCAAAAACTTTTAAATCTAGAATCCTGATGATTCAAAATCACCAGCTTATCACAATATGTCCTTGATTTTTTAATCTTGTTATTAACTGAATAAAGATACAATCATGTTTATGAAATTTATAGATGACAGGTGATGTAAAAATAACAATGTTGAATATTAGATTTACATTTTAAAATGATCTCAAGTTGTTCAACTAATTGGAATAACCTGTACTTTCTGGTAATCTCAGGGCATAACGAAGACTGCCACAATGCTGACCTCAAAAAGTATTTGTTGAAACAATGAATGAATAAATGAATGAATGGATCAAAACGAACAAGGTAAAATTTATCAAATAAAATTAATTTTTTCAGCTACAGAATAGACTAAACCTGGTTTGATGGCAATTTAGATAAATACCAGACAGGTACATTCATTACAGTTCAGTTTAGGCCAAGAGTCCAATTAACAAGTGTAAAATATCTAACAAAATTAATTTCACTGTCTCTTATCTGTTCCAGTCAGACTACATGCAAAATACAAAATTCCTTCTGGACATTACTTTTTAAAATTGACACTGGCAAACTAGAGTTCAACAACTTTATTCTGATTGGGCAGCCAAAATATTAAGAGGTCTGGCAATCTTGTGAGGAGATATAAATTGAAGTATCTGGGATGCTTAACTTAAAAAAAGAAAACAGGAGGGACATACTTCAGATATTTGGAGGGCTGTCATAGGAAAGATATATTACAGTCAGTCTGTTTATCACTTAAGGAAACCATATGGAAGCTACAGGGAAACAGACCTTGCTTTAGCAGTACAAGGAAGAAATTTCTAAGAGTTACATCTGTCCAAAAACAGATTCATTTACCTTGCTAAAAAGGGAACACTTCATCACCTTAAGGATCCAAGCAAAACTAAATAATCTGCCAGGGGCTTTGCAAAGAAATTATTGCTGTGTTAGGTAGAACACTAACATAGATATCTTGAAGAGCCTTTCTGGGTTTATTACGCTATTTTTTCTATAGCCTCGGAGGGTCTTGCTGCCTCCATCTTCAACAGTACCATAACATTTCTTTTCATTAATGTATCTTCTTCCAATTTAATACCTGATGAGGTCTTTGTTCTAAGTCCCATTGTTCTTAGTTGCTAACGAGGTAGTCCTTCTATGACAGTTAATTTTATGTGTCAGTTTGACTGGGCTAAAGGATGCCCAAATATCTGGTAAAACATTATTTCTGGGTATGTCTGTGAAGGTGTTTACAGAAGAGACTTGTATCTGAATTGGTAGACTGAGTAAAAAAGACGCTCTCACCCATTTGGGTAGGCATTATACCATCCCTTGAGGGCTTGAATGAAACAAAGAGGCAGAGAACAGTGAATTAGCTTTCTGCTTGAGCTGAACAGCCATCTTCTCCTCCTCTCGGACATCAGCACTCCTGGTTCACAGACCTTCAAACTCAGACTGAACTACACCACCAACTTCTATGGTTCTCCAGCTTGCAGATCATGGGACTTCTCAGCCTCCATAATCACATGGGCCAATTACTATAATCTCTCTGTTACTCTGGAGAATGCTGACTGTTCTGTGAAAGGGCCACCATATATGCAAAGTTCCCCCCAAATGCCAGAGGAGCTGAGAAATCAAAGAATGAGGTAGAAAAATCCAGTTTGTCAGTGATGGAGGTAACTTACAGACGGAAGTGTGGTCTTGGGCAGCAGCAAGACAGGTAGATCTCTAAACCTGTTACCTCCCAACCCAGAGCTTATATACTACAGTGAAAGGGTATAAGTGCTCTCTATGCAAGATAATTAAAGGCAATCCTCCAGAACAGGCAACAATGCTATATATTCATCATAGTCTGTAAACTGTGGGATAACATCAAGATTGACATGTTCTTTCTCTAGGGACAGTAAATAAAGTAGGAATCAGGAGGCATTCATGGGACTGAGGATACTCAAAAATCATTATAGCAGATTAGCATTTAAGGTGGAGTCACTTTTGTCTCCACACTAATATGGCTTCTTTATGCTCTTACAATCTGACTTCTATTGCAACCATGGCAGGAAAAAAAGAAACAATCCCCTGTTAAAAGTCACAGCCTGGCTGGGCACGATGGCTCACACCTGTAAAATCAGAACTTAAGGAGGCCAAGGTGGGAGAATCACTTGAGGCCAGGAGTTTGAAACCAGCCTGGGCAACAGAGCAAGATCTCATCTCTATTTTTAAAAATAAATAAATAAATAAATAAAGTAAAAGGCATAGCCTTTTTGCTGTAATAGCCAGTGGTTCTGCATTATTTTCCTTGTCCTTAACTCTGTAGAGTTATTGTTAACTATCCTTCGTCTATAATTTTTTGCTGCTCTAATTACTTTCCTCTTTTTCAGTGGTCTTTTTCCTCTCCTTCTACTCATGAATCATAGTGTTTTCCTAAGGCACTAATATTTGCTATGTTTGGATGTTCACTACCATTTTTGATTATGGGATTAAAATAATTTTTAAATCCTTCATTACAATAGGATAATGTCAGTGACACAATTAACACTATGTCTTGGTAATTTCCCTATGTGACAAACAGTGAATACTGATTTGCTTGACAATACCCAATTGTAGTTACTTAGTTTTATTTTCCTAGTTGAACCAGGAAAAGTATTTCAAAGTTTACAGTTGTATTTTCTTGACAGACAAGGAAAAAATGCTTCAAATTTTATTTTTTTAAAATTTATCATGGAGGAACTTTACCAGATCACACTTGATATGCTATCAGGGTAGCCATCAATTCAAATTATAAATGTGGCAATATTTTATTGCCCTTCATATTTTAAAGTGAGTCTAAGGATAGTGTCACAAATCATGTACAGAGTGCAGCTGAAGACACCATCAATCCTCCCCCATCATCTACATATCAAAATTCAACTTAAGTTTGTAGACACAAACACAACTATTACAATATTTTGTAGAGAATGGAAATTCTATTTCCCAAGTCTACACAAAGCTTGCTCTTCAAAAGAATCTCTCATCTGTTATTAAATAGCCACTTGGGATTCTTACCATTATTCTAGGCATGCACTGTATTGATTAAAGCTCTACTTAATATCAGATATCAGCCAACACTGAAATATCCTCCATTCAAATGCTTATTACCCATTCAAAATAACTGAAAATGTAGTTAGAGTATATGGTTGCTAGGTGGAGATATTTAAGTTATATGATCTCAGAGTCTGAACAAATGTGCATCCCATCAAAGGTCTAGACCAGAGCTGTACAATAAAACTTTCTGTGAAGACGAAGATGTTTTTCTAAACTATCCCATATGATAGCCATGAGGCACATGTGACTACTGAGAATCTGAAATGTGGCTAGTGCAACTGAAGGACCACATTATCAATTGTATTTAATCTTAATTAATTTAAATGTAAATAGCTTTATATGGCTATTGAGTACCATACTGGACGAAACAAGCCTAGTCTCTAGAAAATATAACCATGAATTATTCTTATGGTTTCCTTTCTTAGGAATAAATGTAAATGTTAGTAATATTAACATAGTACTATTTTACCAAAGTATAATGCTGCACCAAAACATTTACACTGACTTACTCACATAAAGGACATTTATAGAATACAGCAGGTACTATGTACTAGTTGTCACGCTAAGTGCTGAGGAACTTTCAGGAGTTCCTTTAGGAGCTCAGGATATTGAGAGATGCAGTAAATAAGTTAATAAACTACAATATAACTTTTCTTGCTATTAGAGGCATCTAAATAAAGAAATGTGGAAACACAACATATACAATAACTGTAGGAGTTTAAAAGGTTTCATTGAAGACTTTAAAGCTGGGATACCATGAAGAAATATGTTACAAAATAATATGCGGGGATGAGGGTCGGGGGCGTGGGGAAGTGGACAGGCAATCCAGTAAAGACATGGGGTCCTGAAAGGGCTTGGCAAGGCTAGGATACAGCAGACTATTCTCCATGTGTTGTGCAGCGGCAGAGATGTGCAGCTCCAGTCTGACTGTGAGAGTCTTACATAGGAAGCAAGAAGTTTGGCTGCCAAGTGATCACATACTGCCCTATACTTCCCCTATTGTTAGAATTTCCACACTTTTATTGTAAGTACTTATCTTTTTAATCTGCTTCATTAGATTTCAAAATTGTTACGGCCAGACCATGTCTTCCTTATCCACCACTGTGCTCCATGGCATCTGATAGAGAATTAATAAATATGTGTTTTAGGAATGAATGTTTCTGCTTGTTTTGAAGCTTGATGCTCTCTGGAACCACACTACCTACCACCTTCCAAACTACCTCTTTGACTTCTGGTGTTTTCCCTCTTGGTCCATAATCAGGTAGCCATTGTCATTTTCTAGCAGTACTTAGTGGAAGGTTTTATGACTGAGTTCCTGTCTTTTAAATAAAGCTGGGGAATTTAATAGACAATTACGTTTATGGCATTGGATTTGAGTTGCCCACAGTAATGTACTTAGATGGAAAAGAAATTGAAATAGCTCCCCTTTACCAACTCTATCAATATATGATTAAAAGGAATATTTTTATTTTTTAGTTTTTAATTTTTGTAGGTACATAGTAGGTGTATATATTTATGGAGTACATGAAATATTTTGATGCAGGCATACAGCATGTAATTATCACATCAGGGTAAATGTGGTATCCATTACCTCAAGCATTTCCTTTGTGTTACAAACAATCCACTTGTACTTTGTTTTTTAAAATGTACAATTGAATTATTATTGACTGTACTTCCGGAAAGGTGTCCCAATCCAGACCCCAAGAGAAGGTTTTTGGATTTCATACAAGAAAGAATTGAAAGCAAATCCATAAAGTGAAGCAAGTTTATAAAGAAAGCAAAGGAAAAAAAAAATGGCTATTCCATAGGCAGAGCAACGGCTTGAGCTGCTGGCCTAAGGATACCTATAGTTATTTCTTGATTACAGCTAAACAAGGGGTGGATTATTCACAAGTTTTCCAAGGAAAGGTGTAGGCAATTCCCAGGGCTGAGAGTTCCTCCCCATTTTAGACCCATATAAGGTAACTTCCAGACGTTGCCATGGCATCTGTACACTGTCATGGCACTGGTGGGGGTGTCTTTTAACATGATAATGAATTATAATTAGCATATAATGAGCAGTGAAGACGACCAGAGGTCACTGTATTCATCATCTTGGTTTCTGGTGGGTTTTGGTTGGCTTCACTACTGCAACCTGTTTTATCGGCAAGGTCTTTATGACTTGTTTTTCCTGCCTGTGGACCTTCTATCTCACTCTGTGACTAACCTCCTGGGAATGCAGCCCAGTAGGTTTCAGCCTTATTTTACCCAGCCCCTATTCAAGATGGAGTTGCTCTAGTTCAAACGCCTCTGACAACTAGTCACCCTGCTGTGCTATCAAATACTTGATATTATTCATTCTTTCTAACTGGAATAATATTTTTTAAATAGTAAAGAGTGAGATACATGAACTCCAAATATCTGAGACAGGTCACAATCAACTCAGAAAGTTTATTTAGCCAAAGTTAAGAACTTGCATCCATGACATGGCACAGATCCTGACAACATGCGCCCAAGGTGGCTGGGGCACAGCTTGGTTTTACACATTTTAGGGAGACATGGGGCAGCAATCAATATATGTAAGATAAACATTGGTCTGATCTGGAAAAGCGGGGCAACTCCAAGTGGGGAGGAAGTTCCAAGTCATAGGTAGATAACAGACAGTTGCATTCTCTTATGAGCCTCTCCAAATGAGGCAATCAGACATGCATTTATCTCAGTGAGCAGAGGGGTGACTTTGAATAGAATGGGAGGCAGGATTCCCTAAGCAGTTCCCAGTATGACTTTTCCCTTTAGCTTAGTGATTTGGGGGTCCCATGATTTATTTTCAATTCATAAGATATAAAAAAGATATAAAAAAGAAAGGTACACCTGAGTAAATATCTACTCAACAGGGAAGCAGGATACATGTTCTCTTTGCTTTCCCTGTTTCCTTGATAGCCATGCACCTTATGTTTATATTCCTCATTATTTGATGAAGTTAATCATTGCAATAAGAGAAATACGAAAGACTCTAGAACTCTAGACACGAAAGCAATTATACAGCCTTTATGACACGCAAATTTATTCACTCTGTAAAAAAAAAGTAATTACTTTCGGTAGGGTCTCCCATGTATCTTCCAAAAGGCAGACTGCTCTGGGTGCATGTAAAAATTAACACGATACCCTATACAAAAGGGAATGCTCAGAGTTAACAGCTAGAGAAGAGAGGCGCCAATCTTAGACACAGGCTTATTCCTCCGCACCCTCCCCCAAAACAAATGGAGGACAGAAGAAAAAAGAAAAGTAGTTAATACAACTATTACTCTACGGAAATATTAGGGGTAGCGCAAACAAAGTTCTGACACTAAACTTTACTGAGCCCTGCATCCTGCCCACGACCCCCCCAGAAACACCTACGCACCACTCTCCTAGCCGCCGCAGCCCCGCCAGTCTCGCCGGGAGGAACCCCCAGCGCCGCGGTACAACCACGGCACTTCCGCCCGCCCCCCGCGCCTCGGGCGCAAGCGTTTGGTGTGTCTGCGTCGGGGGCGGAGCCTCTTGTCCCTCTGCGCGGCCCGTTCCGCCTCTCTTCTCCCACCGCCTGTCGGCTGACGTGTCTGCAGTTCCTCCGCGTCTACTGCGAGTCAGGCCGTGATGGCGGACGCCTGGGAAGAGATTAGGCGGTTGGCGGCCGACTTCCAGCGGGCGCAGTTCGCCGAGGCCACGCAGAGGTGCCCGACCCTCCCTCTCCTTTGTGGAGCCCAAATTAGGCCGTGGGCGGACACGCCTGTATCTGGGACTTTAGACCCGCGGCCCTGCATCCCGGGTCTTCTCGCTGCTTGTCACCATTCTCTCCTCCTCCCTCTGTCCCGAGCCTGGATCGCAGTTCCAAGTCCAAGGCTCGGCGGGAAAGTCCTCAGCCTAGGACGCCCTGGAGCCCCCCAGCCCAGCTGCAGCGAAATGCTGGCGCGCCCCGCCCCACCATGGACGGGGCCGGTGATTTCGAGCTGCCTTTATTGAGCATTTCTTTGACCCTCCCTCACCCACCAACCACCAAATCACTGTGACATCTTGGCTATTATACACTTCCTGATCTAGAATGAGCTCGAAAGGAGAGGCTAACCCCCGCCCCCAGTACAGTACTTGGCAAATAGTATGTTGATCCTTAAAACTTCTTGCCCTTTTATCTCTCGTAACAGACCTAGGGCTAGACCCCTGACCCCATCTGTTATTCAGGGCACTGACATTTTCTACAAGCCCACTAACCTTTGGAGGATGTGTCCAGAGGAGCCTAACTCTGCTTTTTAAAAATAACGCTAATAGAAGCCTTTCTATTCTTTGACTACTTCCTACCTGCGATGTTTTATTCCTTTTGAGCCGGAAGACAGCAATCCCCTTATGCTGTATTTTCTACCACTGATAGCAAACTCGTAACTGCATGGGTAACTAACGTGGGTAAAAGTTATGGTTTCACTAGGCCACATCCCCTGCCTGCTTGCAGACCATGTGTGTAAGTGAGGCAATTATGCACTTAATTTAAAAGAAAATTCTGATTAAACTGGAAATTAGGGCATTTTTTGTTTTGTTTTGTTTTGTTTTTTCTTTTTTCCTACCTAAATAAATGTCTTCAATTTTCCCTTCAGATTTGAAGATTGGAAGCAGGCCTGTAAGAGACAACAGACTTGAAATTTGTGATGGGATGATGTGTACCAATTAAATAAATGATTTAAGCATATGTAAACCTACTTACTCTGAAAGGTTTTTTTTTAACTTATTGAATCAGTTAGTGAAAAATACAGATATTGTGATGTAGAAGTTAGTGACTAAACAAACTTTTTAAAAGCCTGTTTTCATACATTGTATTAATTTTATTGAGCGCCAATGTCTCAAGTGGACTTTTGAAACAACTTTTTTTCTTTCCCTCAGGTTGTCCGAGCGGAACTGCATTGAGATTGTTAATAAATTGATTGCTCAGAAACAGCTAGAAGTAGTTCATACACTCGATGGAAAGGAATATATTACTCCAGCCCAAATTAGTAAAGAAATGAGAGATGAGCTACATGTCCGAGGTGGTAGGTAATTCTTTAGTGTTTTTTTTTTTCTTGGATTTTTGGAAGGGGCAAAACAAACAAACAAAACCCGTAAACATGTAATTGCATACTAAATTATAGATTGTAAGATATCGTTTTCAATTGTTAATTTGATAATCAGGCTTAATATTTTTACTGGGTTCATGCAAACATGGTCATATAATTTAAATGAACTCAAATGTTGTCACTTAAAATATTTTATCATTTTGAGTTATGTGTACTATACATGAATTAATTGTTTCTTTTTACAATTCATTAATTTATTGCATGACTCAGGGAAGGGTATTCAGCTGCCTTTTATTAGGTGGTAATTGTGAAGGGGGACAGTATCTTACAGGATTATAGATTTTTGAAAATCAAGGCTGTATTTCTTTTTAAGGCTTACTTGTACTTACAAATTAGGTAACTCAATCCAGTGTGGTGCTACACCAATCATATTGTATGAAATGCTGTTAAAAACACGCACAAAGTTGGTTTCCTTTGTCTTCTTAAAATTTGAACAGACTACCAAGCATATTTGAATACTATTTGATTAAAATAGAAGCAATTATGAAAGCCTCTCTTCATATTATCAGAGTGTAACATTGGTCTTTGTCTTTTTTTATTTATCTATTTTCCTTCATAGTACCTTTAAAATATGAGCTATAATTTGAATTACTTAACAGATTTTCTTATGCTGATATGTAGAAGCCTACCTTTTAGTATCAAATAATTGAAAAAAAGTTCATCTTAATTTAGTTGTCAATATCTCTTTGATCACAGTAGATAAATTCTGAATTGTGAAGGGAAATGAATACCCTTCATAGATAGAGCCAATTTGTGTGCCAGTTGGTGCTCATAATTGGCCTGATGTTATTTAAAAAAAAAAAAAAAATTGAAAGTAAGTTATTGCTTATGGCTTCAGCCATGAAGACTTAGCCATCAGCTAATGGTGTGTATTTGAAGACATTGATTATTCTGGCTCTCTGTTCTATGCAGGACTTTGACCAAAACTTAAATGTTAGAATTTATAGCTTTGGGTTGGTATGTACGCATAGATCATTTAAAATAAATGAATGTCTTTTCTTCAAAGGTCGAGTAAACATTGTTGATCTACAACAGGTAGGTTTTAAATTTATAAAATTTTTGCTTTACTTTCTCAATTTTTTGATACTGTGAATTTGTTCAAGTATTCACTAATGCTGGTATCATATTTTGTGTAGTGTTTATAAAGAAATAGTTATATAAGCCTCGCTGATACACTGAATTGATTTAACAAGTTCTGATACATTAAAATGATTTAATAAATTCGGATTTATTGAAATGATTTAATAAGTTGGCCTTATTAAAGAGTTGGCCAACTCTTCCCTAGTTGGCTTTCTTATTCTTAACTTTTTACCAAATGAACTCATAGTTATTTTATGTAAGTATAGAGTTTATGTCATTTTGGGAGAAAAGTCACCAGTTTCATGTTTATATGTTTTTAGTATATGAAAGTAATAGAGAAACATTTTTAAAAGTAGAAGCTATTTTCAAAATATACAAATATATATGTCATTACCAAGGTACACTATAAACAAGAAGCCAGCGAATTTTCTGTAAAATGCTATCTGTTATATGAATATGTAATTTACTGCTTTATATAAACTTACTAGCAAGTGACAGTTTAATTCTTCAGAACTGAAAATAACTAAGCAATACACCTCTAATTTTTTATTTGGCCAATGCTTTTCGTATTATTTCAGATTGATTCAAAATTTAAGAATAAGCAATTTCTTTCTTTCTTTTTTTTTTTTTGAGATGGGAGTCTCCCTATGTTGCCCAGGCTGGTCTCAAACTCTTGAACTGAAGGGATCCTCCCGCCTCATCCTCCCAAAGTGCTGGAATCCAGGCATGAGCCACCATGCCTGGCCGGCAATTTCTTTAAAAATATAGTTCTAAGTATATAATTTCAAGCTTAAGAAACAATACAAACTAATCATTAATAGATTTTGTATTTGTTTTCCAGGTAATTAATGTGGACCTGATTCATATTGAAAATAGAATTGGTGACATTATTAAATCAGAAAAGCATGTTCAGTTAGTGTTGGGACAACTGATAGATGAGTAAGTACAATAAAGTACAAATTTAAGAGCACTTTGTTTATTTTCTTTCTTTTTTTTATAGTGTTTAAATTTAGGCCAATTATGGCCAGTTAGACATTTCATTTATAACTCTTACAGTGTTGATTTTCATGATAAGGTTTATTTCACTTAAAAAGTAAGTGTTTAAGCCACATATGGTGGCATGTACCTGTAATCCCAGCTACTCAGAAGGCTGAGGCTGGAGGATTGCTTGACCAGGAATTTGAGACCAGCCTACGTAACATAGCAAAGATCCTGTCTCAAATTAAAAAAAAAAAAAAAAAAATTCAGTGTTAATGTATGGAATACTTAGAAATAATATAAACTTCTATTTTTTTCTTAATAAGAAAACGTAAAACGTAACTTTTACGTTCCTTCCCGTATAATCTTAACTCTGAAAGCAAATTTGTTCCAAAAATGTTAATGAAAATCAAATACAAATTTCCACTTAAAAAAATCCCAGCATGCCAGCCTGGGCAACATGGCAAAACCCATTTCACTAATTAAGTTTGCTAATTAAAAAATTAGCCAAATGTGGTGGCTCGCACCTGTAGTCCCAGCTACTCAGGAGGCTGAGGTAGGAGGATTGCTTGATCCCAGGAGGTCAAGGCCACAGTGAGCCATAATCATGCCATTGCACTCCAGCCTGGGTGACAGAGTGAGACCTTGATGCAAAAAAAAAAAAGAAAAAGAAAAAGAAAATGTATTGTTTGATTAATCTTACATTTAGCTACACTAATGAGAAAAAAGTATTTGTTAGAATATGAGTGATGAGTGGTGTTCATGTACACACACATTTCATTACTTTTGGGGCATACTTCATTTCAACGGAAATTAAACATAAAATGAGGAAACAGAAAAAACATTCCTAATTCTTTTTTCTATTATTTTCTTGTTTTCACTATTAGGAATTATTTGGATCGGTTGGCAGAAGAGGTCAATGATAAATTGCAAGAAAGTGGTCAGGTCACCATATCAGAACTGTGTAAAACTTATGATCTTCCTGGGAACTTTCTGACACAGGTATTTTTTTTCCTAATAATACAATGTGTCTTTTTACCAAAGGATTTTAAACGAAGACTTTGAATGGAAGGGGGAAAAAAAAATGAGACTTCCTCACCATCATTTGATTTATTGCAGGTGTCTGACTTGATATATGTTGTACCAATATATTTGGGGGGTACTTCTAGTACATTAATGGTTCTGAGGAGGCAGTTTAAAAATGATTGTAATCATCCTAAACCAAGAGACACCCTAAAACTAATTTATAGACTAAGTTCTAGGGCTGCTTTGATGCAATTAGCAAATGTACAATAAATGCATGGATTTATTTAATGCTTTTGATACCAGCTATATAGAAACTGTAACCAGACAATTAAATTTCTGATTGCCCAGTTAAATTTTAAGAAATAATTGATGAAGATAATTTATAGGGGGTACTACTGGCTTCTTGTGAGTAAAGGTCAAGGATGCTGCTAAACATCCTACAATGTACAGAACATCCTGCCAACAAAGAATTTTTTTGTTCCAACTGTCAGTAATGCCAACATCTTTTGACTTCACCATTTATCCTCTTCTAAACAGTCAGTATGATAGGAAGAAGAACCAAGGAATCTGACATTCTCTTAACTTTAGGTATTTGTGTCAGTACTCAAATATCTTATGTGTGATAACAATGCTGCCTGAAAACATAGGCTATTTTCTTGTTTACTTTTTTCTGTTTTTTTTTGTTTGTTTTTTTAGAATCATAGAAATTCATTTGGTAGAGTGGAAAGGACATAAGCTTTTGAGATTTTTAAAAGACCTTGATTTGAATACTGTCTGCACCACTTATTTGACATCAGGAAAATCATTTCATCTCTTTTATGCTTCACATTATGTATCTGTAAAACAGGAAATATTGTCTTTTTTATAGGCTTCATTGAAATCTAGTGAAATATCTTAACACAATGGAGAAACTAAATAATGCTAGTTCTTTTTATATTTACTGAAACAAGGGAGAAGCCAAATCTCTCTTTAGGTATCTATCACTTTAAGAAACTCCAACTTGCAAAATTGGCCAAACCGTAATTGCATGAGATTAATGTATAATACAAGCAGATTTACTTACTCATATTAAGAAAATGAGCTTCCCTAATTCCATTTAAAATACCATTTATAGTATAGATCTGTTTTATGTAGTATTTCAGGAGCTGAAATTATATTTTACATGGGCAAACATATGTTAATCACAGGACAAAAAATATATTTTTAAAATACTTCTTTAAAGTATCCAGCTCAAATCCAAATGATTTCTTATAAAACTGTTTCTGAATACATTTTAGAAACGTAGTTTTTAATATGTTTCAGTTCCATTCTGAATATAGCAGTATTCTAAAAGCTCATTAAGTTTGAAAAAAACATTTTTCTATATCATAAAAATAATGAGCTGAGCTGACTTGAGTAGATTTAACTTATCTTAAAATGTGAAATATGTCCAGACTTATTTCAGATGTACCTGATGCCAGTCGTAGTATAGCTGTGGAGAAATACTCTGCTGAACTTGAAAGAAGGTTACCAAGAAGTCAGATTATCTGCCATAGATCTTCTGGACGGGGATAAATTTGCATTAGAGAGGAAAGCTTTTGAGGTCTTATGTTTCCCTATGTTGCAGAATCTGGAATAACATTTATACTTTTAGTATTAGAAGCTCCAGAAAGGGTCTTCTCCAATACCCATTTGTATGTCTTGGCTCTCTATATATTGGAGGCTGCCTATATCTAGAAACCATCATATCAAATAATCATCATATTGATAGTCATTTTTATGTTAGAAATAGCCCTCATTAACAAGAGATAATATGACAGCTCAACCTTTTAACATGTAAGCAAGCAATTTGACTCATTTCTTGGCTCTGCCATGAGATAGTGAACTTTGCTAGACACTGAATCTTCACTTTAGTTGATATATCTTGTAATCTATGCTTGTTGAAACTTCTCAATCACATGACTGATACCTCAGCATGCAGCATGACTTGAGTATGACTATGCAAATGCATATGTGTAATTCTTTTCTTTTAAATTAATAAAAATGTACATCTTTACCCACAGGCACTAACTCAGCGACTTGGTAGAATTATCAGTGGACATATTGATCTTGATAATAGAGGAGTAATTTTTACGGAAGCTTTTGTAGCTCGACATAAAGCACGTATCCGTGGACTATTCAGTGCTATTACCCGGTAAGTATATTTTAAAGTATATATATTTGCACATTTCTTTGATCATGGTTTGCATTTTTTTCCTAGCAGCGGAATCTTTTTCTTTGTTTTAATAAAGTCTCATTTAGGACCCCAGTTTATTAAACAGATAAAAGGGCAGCTTTTGTAAAATAGAAATTGAGATTCCAGAGTTCTAGAATGCAGCCTCTCTCTCCAGTCCGCATCTCCTTCCTCTCCCTACCTTCACCACCCTTGTGACCCCATACACACTTTTGCAGAGTGCAGTTTAAATACTGCTGCCCAGATCAGTATATAAGTGTCACCCTTGAATCATGGAAAGAACATGCAATTTAAAGTCAGAAGAATTTGGTTCATAGCTTTATCACATAATAGGCACATGACCTTGAGCAGATAAGTCAGTCACCTAACTTCTTTGGGCATCATATGGGGCTAGAGAATTTTATGACATTTTTTACTTTCTAGCATTCTGTAATTGTAATGAATAACAATGTTACTTGCAAAGTCACTGACTTTTCTAAAATAAGAATTTCTGAAATATTTGGGTCTGTGTGACAGACTCCAGCATAGAATTCAGAAAACCTATATTCTCAATTTTCTCCTCTCTCCTGTGTCATCAACTTCATCTCAGTGGCTATATGCCCTATCAGCATTTAAATATGTCCAAAAGTCTCCCATTTTAAAACAAACCTCTCTGAACCCCTTTATTCTATATCATCTATCATGCTGTTTGTTCCCTCTCTTAAAGTGAACCTTCTCAACAGTTGAAATCTACATTCAGTGTCTCAGTTACCTTCTGTCACTTCTTAATCCACCTATCTAGCTTCTACTACATATATAGCACTGATGTCTCATTATCTGTAAGTCTAATGGATACTTTCCGTTTATTTGACTTGACTTTGCAGCAGCATTTAACTCCAGTTACAACTTCCTTCTTGAAATACTCTTTTTTTAAACATAACACTTTAGATTTCTTCTTCTCTCTTTTGGCTGCATCTTCTAAGTTACCTTTTCTAGCTCTTTCTTTCACTATCCTTTAAAGTTTCACGCCATCTTTTCTTCCCAGTTCTGTGCTGTCATCTTAGGTGATTTCACATGGCAGCCACAGTGATTTCCCTTTTTGTCATTCAACAAATCAACAAGCATTTGTTGAGCACCTAATGCATGTAAGGCACTGGGGTACAAAAGGGAGAAGGTTAGAAGGAGAGCATGTATTCTAATGAAATGATTTCCTCCCTCCCTCCCTCAGTGCAAGAGAACTTTTTTTTTCTGAACAATTTGAGAGGAGGTTGCTGACATGATGCTCTATCACCACAGATACTTTAATCTGTATTTCCTATAGAAAGGGGCATCATCCTATATAACTATAATACAGTCATCAAAAACAGAAAATTAACATTGATTGATTACTACCATCCAGTCCTTAGATCCCCTTTATGTTCTACTGGTTATTGTAATAATGTCCTTTATAGAAAAAGGATCCAATTCAGGATCACAGATTGCATTTAATTGATAAGAGTCCTTAGTCACCTTCAATCTGGAATACTTACTTGATTTTTCCTTGACATTCATGACCTTGACACTTTTGAAGATCACAGGCTGATTATTTTATAGAATGTTCATTGTTGGTTGTCTGCTGTTTTTTCATGTTATACCTATTTGTGTTATGCATGTTATGCATAATTTTTCATATTCAGGTTATGTGTCTTTTGATAGGAATATCTCAGAAATAACACTATATTCTTGTTATTGAATCATATCAGGTGGCATACAATTTAGATTTTTCCTAATAGAGATACCAGCTAGGCTTGTAAAGCTACTTGTTTTCCTTTGTAACTAATAAGTATTTGTCGGGAGGGCAATTTGGGACCATGGATGTTATCCTGTTCTTCATCAGACTTGCAGTTTATTCATTCATTTAAATCACTATGGACTCATGATTCCCTAATTTATTTATTGGATTATAATCTGCTGTCATTATTTACATGTTCATACTGGCCCTGATTTAGCTAGTGGTAGCGCCTGCAGGTTGCCTTTTGCATACCCCCATCATTCTTGAAACTTTCTTTTCTTTCTGGCTTAAGATGTTCCAGGCTCAGTTCATACTTTCCCTGTCCCAAGCCTCAAATCAGCCCTTTCTCCAGAGATCCCTGCTTTCTTTTAGCAGAGTATGGGATTTAGAAACCAAGATCTGGATACTACATTACTTATCACTATTCGGTTCTCACTGCTCCCAGGCCCTCTCAAAGTAGACAAGCTAGCACAAGGGCCCTCAATCCCCAGGCTGCCAATCAGTACCAGTCTGTGGCCTGTTAGGAACCAGGCTGTGCAGCAGGTGAGGGTGGGCAAGCCAGCATTACTGCCTGAGCTGCTCCTCCTGTCAGATCAGTGGCGGCATTAGATTCTCATAGGAGCGTGAACCCTATTGTGAACTGCACATGCAAGGGATGTTGGTTGCACGCTCTTTATGAGAACCTAATGCCTGATGATCTGAGATGGAACAGTTTCATCCTGAAACCATCCCCCACAACCCGGGTCCGTGCAAAATTTGTCTTCCATGAAACCAGTTCCTGGTGCTAAAAAGGATGGGGACCGTTGAACTAGGAGATACATATACACATGTACATACACCCCTCTATACATCTGTATTTCTGTATCTTTATGTGTATTGAAAACTGTGAGTTTGTGCTGATACTTCCATTTCTAGTCCAATACCGTAAGTTTCATTTCATTCTAGTTTCCTTCTTTTCCATGTTTGTAGCTTTGTTCACTGACTAAGAAAAATCTAACTCCTATTATCCTTAATGTATTTAGTTACTTGATTAATTCCCCTTATGTGACTGGTTTCCCATTGCTACTGCAGCTCCCTTTCTCATGTGGGTGTTCTCTTTATTCCATGTAGGCTCTGACAGTCTGTGCCACATCACCCTCCTAACACAAGAAATGGGTGGTTGTTTCTGGGGAAAGAAACTGGGTAGCTGGGTGGTAGGAATGGAGAGGGATTCTTCAGTTTTGTAACTTTTTTGTACCCTGTTCATTTATTACTTTGTCAAAAACTAAAAACTAAAAATATCTTTGTTCCTATTTATAAATATTTACCTTTTTTCTTTGACTAATTATTGTGGTGATGGTAATTTTCATCAAAATCAGCTGTGTTTTTCTCATTCATAGTAGTCCTGAGTTTCGCTATATGGAGGTACCATCAAATAATGAGAGGAAAATAAGTTTTGAGCCTCAAAAGATGTTGCTAGGTTGTGTGGCTTCCAGATAGTACCATTTAAGGCACCATATCTTTGTATTTGTCTCTTAAAAATAACGAACCATCCCACTTTTCTAGTCTAACTTCAAAGGAGACACCTGCATCTCTGACTTTTAAAAAGTTTATATTTTTTGTTTTTATGGATATTTCTTGTTATCATGGATAGCCAGAGAGAAGAGCAGGAAGCAGTTAGTGAGAAGAATGATGTATGTAGGTATACTAAATACGTTGTATTCCAAATTGACGTAAAAATTCAGCTAAAGTTTCATCATACAAAAAAAGCTAGAAATTTTGCACAACTCAATTCATTGTTTATTGAACACCCACAATAAGCTAGGTACCTAGACATTTTAAGATGAAGTCCTTCAAGGAGCCTTCTACATTTTTGTAAGGATGTGTTTGCGTAGAAGGGAACAAAAGACAAAAAACATGAGAGGTTGTAACAATTATAAGGTAAACAAAGGAGAGCAAAATTCACAGAGGACCTAGACCTTGTTGGTTTGGAGGTTTGCTATGGTTTGGATGTGGTTTGTACCCACCAAAACTTATGTTGCAGTTTGATCACCAATGTGGCAGTATTGGGAAGTAGGGCCTAGTAAGTGTTTGGGTCACAGGAGTGGCTTTCTCATGAATAGATTAATGCCCTCCCACCAGGGTGAGTGAATTATTGTTCTCATGGGAATGGATTAGTTCTCAAGAGAGTATATTGTTGAAAGGATTATGGCTTCATTGGTTTCTCCCCTTTGCTTCCTCTTTCACTATGTGATTTATTTATACATGTCTTCTCCTTTTCCACTTACCACCGTAAATTGAAGCAGCTTGAAACCCTCAAAAAATGTAGCTGCTCAATCTTGAACTTTCCAGTCACCAGAATCATGAGCCAAATAAACCTTTTTTCTTTGTAAATTACCCAGCCTTAAGTCTTCTGTTATAGCAACACTAAACTGACTAAAGCCCCTGCTGTGCTTCCACATAATTTAGCTGAAAATTTTGAGTAAAACAATTTAATAAAAAGCAAATTGATCCTAAGAATTTGGTAAAAATAATAATTTACTCAAAAACACAGAAGTTTTAAATAGTCAATTTATTTTCATACAACTGTTTCTGCTTTCACAAGTTTGAAGTAGAAAATATTTACAATATTCTAAATAATCAACAATGGAGGATTGAAATGTTAGAATTACTTAAGTCGTTTTGTTATATGCATTAAAAATGAAAAGACTAACCTTAACTAGAGAGAACAGGCATACTGGCTTAAAAGGAATAGAAAAGAAATTGTAATCAGAATAAAAAGTCTAGATTCTTTTCTTGTATCCTTTAAAAAAAAAAACTATAGTTATTACAAATGAGATACAGTCATAGGAGTCCACCCCAAAGAAATGAAAACATTCATCGATACAAAGTCAAAAACATAAATGTTCATAGGAGCATTATCCACAGTAGCCACAAACTAGAAATAGTTTACCTGTCTGTCAGCTGATGAGTATATAAACAAAATGTGGTATATTCATACTAGGGAATGAACATCAATAAGAAGGAATGAACTACTGATGCATGCTTCATCATGGATGAATCTCAAAAACACAGAAAGGAGACCACATATTAATTCCATTTATGTTAATGGCTAGAAAGGCAAATTTATAGAGGCAGAAAACAGATAGTTATCTAGATTTAGGAGTGGCAGCAGGAATTAACTGCAGATAGCTATCAAGTAACTTTTTGGGTGATGAAAACATTATAAACTGGATTGTAGCAATGGTTGCACAACTCTATAAATGTATTAAGATCATTGAATTGTACACTTAAACGATGGGGTAGATTTCATGTAATTTAAATTATACCTTATTGCAATAAAACTGGTTAACAAAAGAAATGCATAGTCATTGCAGAAAATAGAAAATACTCAAAAGCAAAAAAAAAAAAAAAAAAGATTTTAAATGGATCCCTCTCAGTCACCCTAATCTAGCCTCATGTCATTCCAAACATTTTCAGTGCACATATGATCTCATTTTTCTTCAAAAATGGAATCATATGACATCCACTTGAATATTCCCAAGTAAGGAAAGAGCCTCCCAGACAGAAAAAACATTGAAGAAAAACCTAAAGACCAAGGCAAATAGTTACGTATCATGGAAATCTGAGAATTTAGTGGAATGGCAATGTAAACTGATCCTTGATTGCAAGTACAAATTGATTTCCCTGATATTTCAGTAGCAAAATTCCAATTAAGGATTTAAAATTTGGTGTAATTTTTGACTTTATTTTTTCTTTTAAACAGTATTTTTCTTAAATTCTAATTATCCTATTTTTAAGTTCATTAATCTATAACACTATAATGAGTAAGAAGTTTTTTTTTTTTTAACTTTCCATAAAGGCCTACAGCTGTGAATTCTTTGATTTCAAAATATGGATTTCAGGAGCAGCTTCTTTACTGTGAGTTTGGTTTAAATTATATTTACTTAATTAGCTGCTGAATAGACTATTAATGTAAAACTTACTAACTTTAATGTTTTTTCCTCTTTTATTGTTAATGTAACTAAAATATTTCCTGGTTTAAAAAAGTTTCTTTGTATCAAGTTTTATATATGTACCTATCTGTTACACTCACCAAACGTTTAATATTGGTTAGCCCTAGAGGAGTATAATGAAAAAAAAAGTAAGCATTTATAATGAAAATATATGTCTCACACACTCTATTATACATGTACATATAGAGATTTAAAATTGTAAGATTAAGAATAGTTTTTACTTTGTTTCTTATGATTTTGTTACATTATCTAATATGAAAGTAAATTGTGTTTCACTAACAATTTTTACCAAGAGCTGATAGCAATAAAAGTATATTCTTATCATTCAAACAACATATTAACTCGAAAATAATCTTTGTTCATTATGTTGTTTGTGAAGCTCTTGGGAGGTTTTGAGGGTTTTTTTTAATGCTTTGCTGAAAATTTTTAAAAGCAATGATTTTGTCTTTCAACTCAGATTATCTGTGCAAATGTAAGAACTAAAATGAAAAATGGAAAAGAAATATCAAGTATTGAACCAAAAATTAATTTTCACTGTATTTTCAGAATATGAACTTTAAAATTTTTGTTTGACTGATTTAAAATTAACCTGACTTTGTTGGAATCTATATAATTAGGAGTTGGTATAATTTCATTATAATGTAAAGTTCTTCAAATAATAATTGGTAACTTCACAACTTTGTTCAGAATTTAGAATGGATTTACATTGTACAGTCATACTAAATTGAGGATCGTGTGTTGTAGTCTGTTGAGAAATCCGGACTTTTTTGATGTATTCTAATTTACTCAGCATTGCAATTTTAAAATTCATGCACAAACTAATTTTTATTTCCATTACAGACTAATTTTCATTAGCCTTTCTTTTTGCCAATCATCTTTTGAATGTGCTTGCTGATTCACTTAGAAATAGCTCCCTTCCATCTGCTTTTTCCTTTTTAGAGGATTTTAATTTCTAAAACAAAATGTTTAGTTAAATGTTATGGTTTAAATAAAAATATAAATTTGCTATTAATGGCAGCACCTTCCGCTTCGTGGTGGTGGTGATGGTAGTGATATTTAGTTAGTATTTATTATTGAGTCTTTATTATATGCCAGCTACTGTTGCAAGCAATTTACTTGAATACAACAATTCTATGAGATGATATTGTTATTATCCCCATTTCACAGATACGGAAATGGAGAAATAAGGAAAATGACTTGTCTAGTGTTTCATAGCTAGTAGGTGGCAGAGTTGAGGTTTAGACTTAGTCTGACTCCAACATTGATCCTCTTAACCAAGGCATTACACTTCTCTTATAGGTAGGGCTGAAATGTCTTACTTCAACGTAAACAGCGGAAATGGAATAACTCTTTAAACTGCTTATAGTTGTATTTCACACTACTGATTCTATTATAGTCTAGGTGTCTTGATTTTTTTAAATATTAAAAAACGGAACTTGTTAACACTAATAATTGCATATTACCTGTTCTTGAAGTGTTTTATCATCTGTTTTTAGTAAATTATGAGATAGATAATGGCATGCTGTGTTTTCACCAAAATTACTCAAACTAAAAATTTCAGTGTTAACATTAACTAGCTTGAGTTACAAGTTCAACACCTTTAGCTAGTTGCCAAAATGCAAAACTTCCCTGAATTTATGTTTTGAATATTCTCATAAATGGCAGGAAAATTTTGTCTAAAATATACTACCTTTATTTATGCTATTTCAACTTCAGATTGGTTTTTTAAAGGTTAAGAATAAGTAAATTATGAAATAATAAAGTATTTTACTTTTTAAGATTTATACCTGGTCTGATTTATTTGTATTCATGTGGGTTTGTTTTAAGCTGTGCTTGAGGAACTTGTTAATAGCGGACGCTTACGAGGCACTGTGGTTGGTGGGAGACAGGATAAAGCTGTGTTTGTCCCTGACATCTACTCCAGGACACAGAGTACTTGGGTGGATTCCTTTTTCAGGCAGAATGGCTATCTAGGTAACTTTCTTATTTCTTTAAAACTAAAATTTATTTTTAACACTAAACTCATTCTTTAAAAGTATTATACTAACCCTAGAGTCCTCCTTTGATCTGTGGGTTATATTAAAAATAATAATAAATAAAAATTTAAAAATGGGAACCCTAGAGTTTACATATACTGTCCTCTCTGATCAGAAGATTATAATGGTTCCCTTTGAGTATAAAAGTAATCACACTGCGAGTTTCTGTGGGTCTTGGAACTGAGTTTAGTTCTATAGTTACTGAACAATTATAATGTAAAAAGACTAAAAGCTGGTAGTAATCGCTGCCAATCTTTCAGTTACATTTATTAAGATGGCACTATAAACTTAAAAGTATTTTTTAATTATAAAAGTAATTATTATATCTTACATTTTGCTAAGTTGCCCAGTTTTTCAGATATATCATCTTAGAAATATTTTGTTGACTATCAGATTTACAATGTGTGTTTTTATTAGTTAACTAATACTTTGGAAACATTGAAGTTATTCTAAATTCTGTGTCTGAAATTCTACTGTCATTTGGATAAATTGGACTGAATTTAGTTATTAAAACAATTAGCATATATATATATAAGATATATATACACACATATATATAGCTTACTTAGTTTGATCAGTTTTATAATCCAAGTCAAACTGCATAACAGATTACTTCCTCAGTAATAAACCTGTAAGTCCTTAGTATATAAATAATTTAAACGTATGGTAGAATACTGGGTTTTTTCCTTACGTTTTCTTGACTTCCTGAGTTGTACTTTTCAGTTTCTTCAATTATAATCATGGATTAGAACTTTGTTATAACTAGTTTTCTTAAGCATGATTATTTGGGGTGGAGTTAGAGGAGTTAAGAAGGTAGACATCTCTAATAACTTTATTGGCTATAACTTTTAAGTCTTTATTTTTCACTTTTGTCTTACATGTAATTGACAATTCTAATCCAACTTTGTGATATATTTGTAGAATTTGATGCTTTGTCCAGACTTGGAATCCCAGATGCTGTAAGCTACATAAAGAAAAGATATAAGACTACACAACTCTTGTTTTTGAAAGCAGCTTGTGTTGGTCAAGGACTTGTGGATCAAGTGGAAGCATCAGTAGAAGAAGCCATCAGCTCTGGAACATGGGTTGATATTGCAGTATGTTTTATCTTTTCCTCACTTTTCTTTAAACAGTGACAACTGATATTTTACTAATATTTGACCATTTAGAAATTAGGATACATAAAGGTGGTCTTGGCTTTGGAGGCAAATTCTAATCATTGTTATAACAAAAATAATCTTTATGCTTAAAGTCTTTCGGGTGACCTTCTACATGTGGACAGTCAACATCCAGAATTCTATAAATCTCAAAACAAACAAGCAAACAATATAACACTCCTGTTAATCCTGATAAAGAATTGATGAGACTTCTCACATCTTTTCCACGCATTCACAGCCGTACTGGCATCAGGCATTGTGTAGCATTTGTTTATTCCTTATCCATTAATCTCTGCTAATGTATTAACACAAGCTGCCTTGGCACGGATAGTGTTTACTTCAGTGTTCAATGTTGATCTGCCCTTCAGTATGCCAAAAAGATAAGTGTAGATAAAGATAAATAAACGAGGCCAATCCATTATTTTCTAGTCGGGCCCAGACCCTCTTTATAAAGCAGAAATTCTCTGTTTTGGATATGAAAGTCCCAAAGATTCCAGATTTAACTGTTTTTTTATTCATCTAACAAAACTACCTTCTGTGTGCCAGGCACCGTTCTATTAATACTTGTTGGGGATATGGTAGCCAGACAAGCTTGCTGTCTTTAGGAGGGACACTTTCATTAGGGAAAGATAGTTAAGGAAAACAGTAAGATAATTTCAGATAGGAGAAAGAGTTATGACAAAATACATTTTGAAGGTTATCAGGACATCCTGGTGGACTGTTTGTGACTTTGTGAGAAAAACGAACTATGTGTGCCTTGTAGGTTTCAGTGTTGTTTTAAACAATTGGAGATGTCTGTTAGGCATGCAAGTGGGGAAGGTAGGCAATAGAATATATGATTTCAGAGCTCAGAGTGGTGATGAAACCAGAAATATAATTTGGAGGTTATCGGCATAAATATGGTTCCAAAAGCCACTGGACTTAATGAGATCATCTAGAGAGAGCATATATGTATATAGCAAATGGTTTCACTGTATTATATTGCATTTATACTTTATTTTTATTTTGTTTGTAATTCTAGCCTCTGCTACCCACTTCTTTATCAGTTGAAGATGCTGCCATATTGCTTCAGCAGGTGATGAGGGCATTCAGCAAACAGGCCTCAACTGTAGTCTTTAGCGACACTGTTGTAGTCAGTGAAAAATTTATAAATGACTGTACAGAACTGTTCCGTGAGCTGATGCACCAGAAAGCTGAAAAGGTATTCCAGATTTCCTTTTATCTGCTAATCTTAATAATATTTTCAATTTAGAATCATCTGATGTCTTTTGAAAAAGGGGATAAGTGAAAGTGAACACTTTGTATCATTTATTATTTTCCTTTAATGTATCATTCGTTTTTATTTTGTCTCCCAGATTTATTTTTTCTCTTATTCCCATCAAAACATCTGACTTAAAAGTTGGGGAACTGACTTTATAAATTAAAATAACGTAAAGGAAATTACACTTTTCAGTTAAGTTTCCTGAGGTTGGTCCAACTTTAAAACCTCAAAATGCACAAAAAACAGTATCTGTAGATATGTACAAATATACAGTGTATTTGTCAACCAATACACAATATATTTACTCAATCTAGCAGAGCCTCAATAATTTTTCCTATTTGGCATACACAGACAGGGTAAATTACTGAAGAAAGAAATTTTGTTACTATTTATTAGTTCCTCAGAGCAACTGCTATGAAAGTATTTTGAAATAGAGGTCCTGCCAGGTCTGTGTTAATGACTCTGTAGTTCATGTTTCTAGTTGGCAGCATCATCTCCTTATAAAGCCTGCTCTCAAATAGGTAAAATAGGCCCATTTATTTTAAACTGTTAATAAATTCATGAGGGCTTATTAAATATGTAAATAGTTTATACTTAGCTGTTCTCCTTCTAAGCTCTTTAATAGTCTAAAAATGAGATAAACTTCTGTATTTAGCCTGATAAGCAGCAGAGAAGATTACAAAGTATACATGTTTGATGTCAGCAACCCTGAATTTAAAACGTGTATTATCTGTATGACTTTGGACAAATAGACCTCTAGTTTCCTCATCTTTAAAGAAAGGATCATGATACCTACTATGGAAAGAATAAATATAAATAAGGGATATATGTAAAATGTTTGTTCCATGTTAACTAGCAGTTAGTAAATGACTCTTACTTTTATTTGGGATTTTTTACTCAAGTAAAAATTTAACATGGTTATCACTTTTCTTCTTTCCTTGGGCTTCTCCCTCTAACCACAAAAATAAATTTGGAAAAAGGTGATTCTGTCATGTGAACTGTCAATATTTTAAGCATTTTTCTTTAGAAAAACAAAAAGGAAATAATATTACTTTTATCATAAATATATACTTTTGTCACTAGAGATTATAGGACCTTATGCCATCAGAAAGAACCAGTATCCGAACTTGGAAATACTTCATCGTTGTTATCATAAACTTTTTCAAAGCAGAAATTATCAAGAATGAATCCAGAGGGGGGAAAAAAAGATTATATGACTTAGTATGCAACTCACATATGGTAATTTGTGTGGGGTAGGGGATGGAGGGTTCATTATCTTTAATAATCTCAAATATCCAGGTGGCATTGGAATTGGGAGTCTCAAAAAGCGAAGGAGCATGGGGCATCAATTAAGCTGTGGTAAAACCAGCCAGTAACAGCTGGAGAGGATTGCATCTGATTGCAGCTGTGTAATCAGTTGTGAAGTGACAAGATAGGATTTCTCATTAGTTAATAATGGGTACAAAAAAGGTCAAGAGCAGCAAGAGAAGAGACCTATTTTGGGCAAGGAGAAACATTTGCCTTAGAGTGACAGCTCTGAAACAAAGCTCTATAGTTCTAAGCAACAAAACCAAACAAGAATAATTAGTGAGTATATAAACAACTTTTATGCTTTTGGAAATGCTATGTGTTTTTCCTACCAAAAAAAGCATGTTTTATTTTAGGAAATGAAAAATAATCCTGTGCATTTAATCACTGAAGAAGATCTGAAACAAATCTCCACTTTAGAAAGCGTTAGTACAAGTAAAAAGGATAAAAAAGATGAGCGAAGAAGGAAAGCAACAGGTAATAAATTGTTAACAAGGAATATTCAAAGTTTTGTATTTGTTGCAGTGAACTTTGCATTTATCACATTTATTATGCCCTTTGAAAGGCCCTTTGTTTTATTGATTTACCTTTAAACAGCTAATATCAACCAAATATTTTGCTAATGTGTTAAGTTTTATATAATAAAATGGAAATATTGGTGATTATGTTTTCTGTTTTCTTTTGTGAAAACTTTATTTTATCATCATGCTCATCTCTTGTTTTTCCCCATCCTCTGTCTATGTTCCAGCCCAGTAGCCCTTTTTTGTTTTGTTTTGTTTTGTTTTGATTCCTAAACTTGCCAGGGTCATATTCACCTCAAAGCTTTTACACCAACTGTTCCTTTTACCTGGAATGCCCTCTCCCAGACTGTAAGTAACTGGTGTATTCTTTTCATTCAGAGCTCGACTTTAAATGCCACTTCCTTAGAGAGGCCTCCTAACCCTTCGGAATAGTAGCCACAGTCACTCTCTGCCACCTCATTTTGTCAGTTTATTTGCATCACTTTATCACCATGATGTGTTTTATTGTTTGGGAACTGTGTTGATCTCATTTATTGTTGTACTCTTGCTACATACCCAAAGCACCACTTGATATATTTTAGGTGTCCTATAAACATACTAATTAAATGAAAAAATTTCTGAAGGACATATTTTTACATTTCTTTTTCTAATCTAAAGTCACTAGAAATTATTCTAGGTATCACTGATATGCTTGTAATTTGCAATGGAAAAGTAACATGTATTTCCATAGTTTTTATAGTAGGAACAGTGCTGTTAGTGCTTTATCGGAACTGAAGAAATTCAATATTCAACATTTTTCATTAATAAATACACTTCTAATTCTTTGAGATAGTTTATTTCCTCTTCCAGAATCTTTTTCTTAAAACTTTTCAATGGCATTATGAAATTTCTCTATTCTTCCAGGAAAATTAATAAATTACTTAAATCACAGTAATATTCATAGCTATGGATATTTTATCATATATTTGAAGATATAGTTATAAATTTGCCTTACTCAATTGATGACTTATGTCAGTATAACTAGTCTATTTAATATTTTATTTCTTATTAAAAGTTAAGGGTCATTTGGTGTTTTATTTTCAGTGATAATGCTATTGTATTATAATTGTTTAATTACAGTGTGTGGAATCATGTCAATCATGAATGTTCCCCCCCATAGGAAACTTATTGTCAAATATAAAAAGCATGTTCACTTTAGACTTATATTTTTGAAAATAGAATTTTTTTATTATAAAAGAAAGGGAAAAATAATAGAAGTTTAAATCTAGGATGTGATGAAATCTAAGGCAAATCTATTTAGAATTTAGAAAAAGATCTTTAGTAATCACTTTATTTTATTAAAAAGACTAATCTTTTACTTATTTTGAAGTAATATAATATAGTTGTAATATGTTCAATGGTTTAAACCCGTTATCAGTATTCCATTTTGTAGAGTAGATATTTTACATGTCAATATCAAAGAGCAGGGAAATGCTGAAGTAGTATTTTTTATTTTTATTTACAGTGTTTGCATTTGTTTCATAATTTGTTTTTTTAAGTCTATAGTCAATAGGTAATAATACTTTTATACTTAACCAATTAATATTCATGGTCAACATTTATGAAGCACGTGTTATGTTTCACGCATTTCTGTAAAGAATATATACATTAATGACACAATGATCCTTGCTCTTCAGAAGTTTATAATCTGTTTGAGTAGCAGATGAGTCAGGATATCTCCTCTAAAAACAGGTAATAATCTTTCAACAAAGAAGGCAAAATAAGAATAATTAAATTTGTGAAGTCTTATAATAGAAGGTTATTGATGAGGCTGTGGTAACACAGATGAGCAAAGGAGGACACATTTCTTTTGGGGAAGGTAGAAGAGGAGGTGAAGGAATGGATTTTTGTTAAGAAAATATTGAGAGTTACAGGAAAGAGGTGACGTTAGAGAAGGAGAAAGAGAATGCATTTAGAGCAGTCAGGCTATCTAAGGTAGATTGCTCAAAAGATTTCATATTTTATTATTAATTTTTTATGTATTGGATTTACTAAACTTTTAATAGGGAACTCCAAATTTAAAAAGAGTCTAAAAGTTTCTTTATTTTGCCTTTATTTTTTCTGCTGTAAAGTTAAATACAACAATATAGTGTCATTATTTTATAAAAATGATGATTTAGTTAGGTAATGCTAACTAATGTCATTTTCCCACCAGAGGGCAGTGGAAGCATGAGAGGAGGAGGTGGGGGCAATGCCAGAGAGTACAAAATTAAAAAAGTCAAGAAGAAAGGAAGAAAAGATGATGATAGTGATGATGAATCTCAATCATCCCACACTGGTAGGTAGCTTTTCTTTACTTTTCCTTGGTGTATGTGTGATATTTGTAACATATTTTCTTAAGATGTATATAATTAGGTATATATGCTAATACAGGAAGTCCTTATTTTGCAGTGTTTCAGTGACACAAATTTCAGTTACCACACTTTAGTTAAATGTTATCAGTCCAGTAACAACACTGTTTATCTTAAATATTAGATACAAAGATACTTCGGTATATTAACTGAGTATAGTATAAAGTAGCTCTTCAGTCCACAAATCAGTACATAAATAACAGATGCATATCATGATCTGTGACAATCACACCACTTATTGTATAGTTTGTCAATGATTGGTCACTGCACATTGGTTATTCCTTATGCACAAACAACAAAGCATGTAGCTGTATTGCCTAATTGTCTCCCAGTGATAAACGCTATGATATTTTACAGAAATGGATAATCAAAAAGAGAATTGGCCAACAAAGATAAAAGCGTAGCAAAGAAATGAAAAGTGATAACACTGAAAATAAAATTGGAATCAAGCATAAATGGAGTTATAGAGGGAATGGCTGACTGTGGGAATGTTGACACTGCCATTGCTCAAGAAAATGAGGAAAGTGGTTATGACAAAAAGGATGAAAACATCTTAGAGGATGTAAAGTGGGGAAAAACTTCACAATTCTTGGAGATATTCCAAGACATTGAAAAGGCAAGGGATAAAACATTGGAAGCTGATTCAGAGTTAGAAAGTGGTATGACAATTTATAAGGCATAGGAAAGGTACTTGGTCCATACTGCAAGTTAATTGATAATAAGAAGAAAGCAAGCACTGTTCAGACTATTCCTGATAAGTATTTTACACAGAAATAAAACACTTTCATTCTCCATGTTCTAATGTGTTAAAAATACAGCATATTAAATTATAAACATTAGTTTTATTTTTCATTTTCCTATACATTTATAACCAACAGTAAAAGCTTTTAATGTTTACCAAAAATTTTTAAAGGCCACAGAACAATTGTAATTTTTCCTATTGATTATTAAGAAAGCTTTGCATGGTTTCACCTTACCATGATCATTTTTATGGTCTTCCACTGCCATGCAAAACAAGTATTAGGATATTTTTGAAAAGTAGACTTGCAAATTTAAATAGGAAACATTAATTTTATGTACATTTTACTTTCATAGTAACACCTAACTGGTTGGTTGCTTATATCTAAGAGAGAGCATTAATTATATGCATCTTTCTTTTCCTAGACTTGCTAGTGCTTGGCCAAGAAAGTCTACAAGAGACATCTTTTGTTTTTCTAATTAAAATTATGATATTTTTAATTTTTCTGTTTAAAAAAGGTAAACTTAATGAAACCATGATACTGCCCTCTTCCTTATCCCCAGCAAAATGAAAATTAAAAAAAAAAACTTTAAATGATAATAGATTGAGATTTATATTTTTCCTCTTTCACAGAATTCATTACATACGGGCTATAGCTGGAAGATGTAGATATCAAGTGATGTGCCTGCAGCTATTAATGTTCTACTTGCTATTTGTAATAGCACAGTTGTTTAAGATTTGTCTTTAAAGTATTCTGAGATAGGTAGAAATAACTACTGTTCTTCATGTATGTAAAACAACGTTAATTAAAGGAAAAGTATCTTTATAGGAACTACTAGCTTTATCCTTATTTCAAATAGGATTAAGACTATCCATTGTGAATTTTAATTTTTCACTGGTAAATGGATTTTCCTGTTGCCCAGGTGTACTAGGCATGTGGGTGAAGAGGCATTACAAGAAAACACTTCTCTAATATCTGTAATCTTAAATAATGGTTAAATGAGGCATGTGATATTCCTTTTGTGAATAGATTATTATTGAAAGGAGCTATAAAAGTAGTAAAACCATTCTACCTTTAAAAATATAATTTCAATGCTTTTGAAAAAAAATTTATGTTGTAATCTCTGAAATAGAGGATGAAATTGGGTTCTCAGCTAAAATATAGGATCAACTCAGTATGAAAGATTACTAGAAGAAAATATAATTTAATAACTTTGAAAATGCATAAAGGAAGTAAACAGGGAAATCATAGATCATTTAATGTGAACATTAGGAATGGACAGCAGATCCCAGAAGATAATAGTACTGTCTGTCTACTCTAAAGCTAGCATGTCAACTCCTTAGATTTTTATTTATAGTGAAAATTGATTTTTGAGCCATTTTATTTTTATTTGTAAAGTTTTTGCTTATAGAATCAATAACTTAATTAAGCTAGAAATAATCACTTTTATACCTTTACAATTTCTAATGGAAATATTGTTAGCTTTTTTTGTCTACAACCCATGCTTTCCTAAGTAAATGGGTAGGCATGACATTTGCACAGTTAGCTATTATTTTCATTACAGTAGCTGCATACAAACTTTCCTGACTATAGACTTATTTTTGTGAGAGCAAAAATAAATTATAGAATTCTGAGATTTTTTTTTAATCTATGCCTTTTCCAAAAGATACATTTTAGCTTAAACAATTATTTGAATTGTGATTCACATGATTATAAAGACTTTCCAAAGATCTTATTTAGATTATAAGGATTATTTAATTTCTAATAAATTTATATTTTTATAAAGGAGGAAAAACTGCCCGGTATTCCTTGTTCAACAAAGATAAATTATTCTTTCCTTAAAAATTTGTTTTGAAATACTTGTTTTGATTTCCAGCTATTTGTATCATCCAGGTTTAACAAAGGGGAAAACTCTTTATTATTTTCTGATTGACTTATAGAAAATAATCAGTTTTAAATGAAGTTAGAAAATGATCACATAAGAAATTTTACCACTTCATGATAAAAATCTTCAGAAAACTAGGCATCAAAGGAACATACCTCAAAATAATAAGAGCTACTTAACGACAAACCCACAACAGCATCATACTGAGTGGAGAAAAATTGATAGAGCCATTAAGAACTGGAACAAGGCAAAGGATGTCTACTCTCACCACTCCTATTCAACGTAGTACTAGAAATCCTAGCCAGAGCAGTCAGGCAAAAGAAAGAAATAAAAGCATCCATATTGGAAAAGAGGAAGTCAGATTATCTCTGTTCTCTGATGACACGATCATATACCTAGAAAGCCATAAAGACTCCTCCAAAGACTCCTGGTCTTGATAAATGACTTCAGTAAAATATCAGGATACAAAATGAGTATACAAAAATTAGTAGCATTTCTATACATCAGTGTCTTTCAAGCTGAGAACCAAATCAAGAACTCAGTCTTATTTTTAATAGCTACAAAAAAAAAAAAAACTAGGAATACATTTTACCAAAGAAATAGAAGATCTCTACAAAGGTAACTACAAAACACTGATGAAAGAAATCGTAGATGACACAAACAAATAGAAAGACACCCCAGGCTCATGGATTAGAAGAATCAATATTGTTAAAATGACCATACTCCCCAGAGCAGTCTACAGATTCAGTGCAATCTTTATCAAAAACAAACATCATTTTTCACAGAATTAGAAAAATACACTCCTAAAGTTGATATGGAACCAAAAGAGAGCCTGAATAGCCAAAGTATCCTAAGCAAAAAGAACAAATATGGAGGCATCATATTGTCTGACTTCAAATTATACTACAAGGCTATAGTAACCAAAACAACATGGTACTGCTAGAAAAATGGACACATAGATCATTGGAACAGAATACACAACCCAGAAATAAAGCCACATATCTACAACCAACTGATCTTGGACAGGGTCGACAAAAATAAACAATGGGGAAAGGACACCCTATTCAATAAATGGTTCTGGGAAGAACGAAACTGTATCCTATCTCGTCATACACAAAAATCAACTTTAGGTGGAGTAAATATTTAGAATGTAAGACATGAAACTGTAAAAATCCTAGAAGAAAACCTAGGAAAAAATCTTCTGGACATTGGCCTAGGCAAAGAATTTATGATAAAAATCCCAAAAGCAAATGCACCAAAACCAAAAATTGACACATAGGACTTAATTAAACTAAAAAGTTTCTGCACAGCAAAATAAATAATTACAACAGAGTAAATAGCCTTCAGAATGGGAGAAAATATATGCGAATTATGCTTCTGACAAAGGACTAATATCTAGAGTCTACGAAGAACTCAACAAGAAGAAGCCCCATTGAAAACTGAGCAAAGGATATGAACAGATACTTCTCAAAAGAAGAAATACAAGCAGCCAACGAACACATGAATAAATGTTCAACATCACTAATCAGAGAAATGCAAACTAAAACCACAATATATCATCATACACCAGTCAGAATGGCTATTACTAAAAAGTCAAAAAACAACAGATGTTAGTGTTGATGTGGGGAAAAGGGAATGGTTATACACAGTTGGAGAGAATGTAAATTAGTTCAACCTCTATGGAAAACAGTATGGAGATTTCTCAAAGAACTAAAATTAGAACTACTATTTGACCCAGCAATCCCACTGCTGGGTTTCTACCCAAAGGAAATGAAATTATTATATTGAAAAGACACATATACTCTTATGTTCTTTGAGGCATTATTCACGATAGCAAAGTCATAGAACCAGCCTAAGTGTCCACCAATGATTGACTGGATTAAGAAAATGTGGTGTATACCATGGAATACAATGTAGCCATTAAAAACAATAAAATGATGTCCTTTGCAGCAACGTGGTTGGAACTTGAGGCCATTACTCTAAGTGAGCTAACTCAGAAACAAAACAAAATACCACATGTTCTCACTTATAAATGGGAGCTAAACAATGGGCACACATGGAAAATAATAGAAGAACTCCGAAAGAAGGGAAGTTGGGGGGGGGCGGTATGTGGGCAGGGCAAGGGTTAAAAAAATTACCTAATAGGTACAATGTTCACTCTTTGGTTAATGGGTACAGTAGTAGCCCAGTCCCTGCCAGTATGTCTTGTATTCATGTAACAAGCATGCATACGAAGCCCCTGAATATAAAATAAAATATTTTTTAAAAAGAGGTTTTATTATATATCCTAATTTCAAAATTGTTTTTACTAGTTGTTGCTATTTGACATTAACAATTGAGTAATGAATGAATTATTGTCTTACTAAATATAGTAATGGAGCCCTATTTGCCATTTGGTTGCATGTTTTTTATTTATTTATTTATTTGCCATTGCTCATGTCCGATATAGGAAAGAAGAAGCCAGAGATCAGTTTTATGTTCCAGGATGAGATTGAAGATTTTTTAAGAAAACACATACAAGATGCCCCTGAGGAGTTTATTTCGGAACTTGCTGAGTACTTAATAAAGCAAGTATAAAATGTATTTTTTCTGTTTTATGGTAGAAATTAAATGGGTTATTAAATAAGATTTTTTCCAAGATCATAGAAAGCAAATGTATTAGATATTTTCATTTCAAACTTGGAATTTAACCTAGCCACCAAATTCCAGATTTTATTTGCCTACAGTGGCAGTTTAATTCAACAAATATTTGTTAGGTGCTTTGGGTAAAGCAGTATGGGAAATAAAAGGCAGGAGCGAGAAAGTGTCCTCACTCACCCATCTTACAGTCATAGGTCTTGGTTGGGGAGAAAAAGACCGGCATTAACCACTGGCTGGTCTCTTCTATAGCACAAAAAATAACATTCAAAAGGAAGAAAAGATAATTTTCTATTTTAATTTGGCAGAAAGTAAACAGTGTTTAAGGAGAATATAGAGTAACAAATTCACTTCAAAAAGAATAAATTTAGGCACTCCTACCTTATGAATGGCTAAGGGTATTTTTATATAAAAATGAAGAAAATTATGTATAACTTGACCATTAGTAACTAACTAACCTGGTCATCCCTCAAGTTAGTTTCACTGTGTACGCTTTCATAAATACAATCCAGGAGAGCAGTGTATCTAACTTTGATTTTAGAAATATAACTTCTGTGGTGATAATTTTTTTAATATAAATATTTTTTGTGCATAAATGTATTACAGAATTATAGTTTTCACATGTAAAAAAATGAAATAGTTACTACTAATCATTTTGCACTGCTTTTTAGGCATAAAAAGGTTTTTTTAAATGTATTTTAATATTTTAGAAATTGAGAATTTTAAGTTGTAATTCCTGAAGATGAAGAACAGATTTATAGTCTACTAGTCTCCAAATTAATTTTAAAAAGCAATTTTGAATTATGGGGGTTTTGTTATTCTTGGTGTCTTAATTGCAGTAACTTTGAATACTTTAAAATAGAGAAAATTAATCTATTTCTGTCTTAATTCCTAGGGTTGTGGAACAAATTGTTAGTGAACTTGTCTCCAAATTAATTTTATTTGCATAAAAAAATAGAGATTTCTATTCTTAAGCCTTATTTCCATAGAAACAAAATTCCTTATCTATATAAATACTCAGTACATTTTAATAAACTAAATATATTTGTCTTATGCACAGACCTCTTAATAAAACTTATCTCGAGGTGGTACGTTCAGTATTCATGTCTTCAACAACTTCTGCTTCTGGGACGGGCAGAAAACGCACAATCAAGGACTTGCAAGAAGAAGTTTCAAACCTGTACAATAACATTAGGTTATTTGAAAAAGGGATGAAGTTTTTTGCAGGTATACTTAATCTTTGTTAATCTTGTTTTTTCATTGATTTTCATAATTTGGGGAATAAATTAGTTTTAATAAAGGTCCTTTATTTTCCAGATGACACACAGGCTGCTCTTACCAAACACTTGCTGAAGTCAGTGTGTACTGATATCACTAACCTCATTTTCAACTTCTTAGCTTCGGATTTAATGATGGCAGTAGACGATCCTGCAGCCATTACAAGTGAAGTATGTTAATGATCTCCCTACCACTATTGATGTGTTCTGTTTTGCATCTATACACATTTTATTTTATCTTATTTGGAGTAAAGAGGAAAATAAAATACAGTGAAAGAGGTTTGAGGAAAAAAATCTAAAAGTTTTTTATTCAACTTTAGTACTATATATACAGTTGCTAGCAGGATTGGTAGTATAACTAGTCTGTTAAAAGTAATGATGCTTAATTACTTTAGAATAAACAGTTTTTTCCCTAATTATTATGTCACATTCCCTCTTCCTAATGACTGGCAAATCCCATAACATTCTGACCCATTTCCATAACTTTGAAGTTATTTTCCTTTAAGGACATCTCATTTCAATATTTAGACTAATTCCAATTAATTTTTTAAAACTCTAATCTCAAACTAAATTCAAAAGCTCATCTCCTCCCTTCTTGCTATGTAATGTAGAGAATGGCTCCCAGTTGCCTAGAGGAAGAAAGGTGCCATCTATCCCAAGATGACAACCCCTCCTTCTCCTTCTCTTTCTTCTCTGTCCTCCTCCCACCTTCTCTACCTCCTCTTCCTCCTCCTCTTTCCTGTTCTTCTTCCTTCTTCCTCACCTCTCTAGGTCCACTTCGAGTTGGAGATTTAGGAAAAATGAGGCAGGAAAAAGCGTCTTGATGTGACTGACTACATGTCACTGCTTTGATCAAGGTCAAACCAAATCAGTCTGATGTTTGTGGTCTTTGGTGATGTAGTTAGTCATTGCCTCATAGGCGATATAAGTTGTTTCCCTGGAATGTTGTTTAGTTTCATGTGACTTCTCACAGTAAGGACCATCCCTCAAACAGAGGAACAGTTATTTCTTCCTCCTTCCCCAGCAAGGTGCTGGCCCCCTTCCCTTCTTCTGCTTAAGAAGCAAATCCCCAGTTGTCTAGACAGTTTCATGTCTCCTGCCCTTATACCAATCTCTGCTATGGAAAATACAGAATATCTTGTTCCATGCCCTTTAAGGGCCACAGAAGGATTGGTGTGGGATTGGGGCAGAGAGGCTAGACAGGAGCAACTAGCCCTTAATCTTCCCAGACATTATACACTTCAGGGCCTGGTGTCAAGCCATACTAGCAAGTCTGCTCCAAAATTTTATGCCAGAAGAAACTAAAAGACTCTGATCAAGAATACCATAAAACTTCAGTGGACACTTACATGTAGAGAGAGGTGCTGAAAAGATTCCTCATACCATAGAGCATAACAAGCATCCAGCCATGAACAAGAGCTCAGCCTCCCATCTTGTAGGCATCCTTGATCTTTATGAGTGGGGCCCTTCACAGCTGGCACTGGGTAGAGAAAAACACCCTCTTCCTACTCTAATGGAAGAATTAGCCTCTTAACCCAAATATTCTGTTTCTCACAAGGTCAACGACTCTCTCTAGTCTTTCTCTTACATTGATGGAGCAGGTGGGAGGAGCAGGGCTGTATCTATCCTGTTTGGCTGATTGGCTATTGACTCTAATAATGTTTTTGTCTCTAATTTGAGATCTAAAATTCAAGAATATGGTAAATTCCACTCAGGAACTTGTTACAGTATTTTTTTCACTTTATCTTATATCCATTGCATGTCAAAAGCACAGTACTGAATGAATTTTCATTTACCCCTACAGATAAGAAAGAAAATTTTAAGTAAATTATCAGAAGAAACCAAAGTAGCTCTTACAAAACTCCATAACTCTCTGAATGAAAAGGTAAGTAAAGTTTTATTCTATTTACATGTCAGGGCTAGCAGTTTGTTACAAAGATCTTTGAGTAGATTTTTTTATCAGAGTAATTGTAAATCCAATCTAAAACTAGTATTTTGCACTCAGCTGCCTCTTTGAAATGAGAAGAGAAGACCAAGCTGCTGGCATTTTACCATTGTTAGTTCTATATCACAATTTCTAACTTAATGAGAAAGTGACCCTTTTAAAAATTGTATTTGGGATGTAAAATTACAAAACAATTGTTAAATGGCTATACTTCCTTATGCAGTTATATATAAAAGTAAATTATGGTATTCAATGCCTTTTCAGAGCATAGAAGACTTTATTTCTTGTCTGGATTCTGCAGCAGAAGCTTGTGATATTATGGTGAAAAGGGGAGACAAAAAAAGGGAAAGGTAACATTAAATTAATCTATATTTGGAAATGTTCTTAAATGTGGAGCCTTTCATATCTGAAATTTGAATTTGACTGCCCGGCTCTTACACAGAGAATATGTACCTAATGTGTCTAATATATCTAAATGGCTGTAGACCTTCAAGAATATTCAAAGTCTTAAAATAGTTAGATATTTCTCTCTGACCCTCTGGATCAAGTAGCAGAGTTTCTTTATCCTATAGTTCATCAAGCCCAGGAACTTTTTATTAGCTTGGGGACTTTCCTTACAGGAAACCTTACCTAATCAGTGCAAATTTGTTTGACCTCCAGCAACTCAAAACAAAAAACATACTTTGAGTATTCCCACTCTATAGCTTTTTCTTTAATTTTGTAGCACACTAATCTATCCATGCCATTTAGGTTTTATGTGTGTATATCCCATATTGAAAAGTTACCTTAAATTTTTATGGAATTAGATAAACTAGAGAAGCTAAAAATTAACAGAAAGGGATGAATTGAAATTGGTGAGAACTTCTTAAATTATGATAATGAATTTGTGTGCTTTTTTTTTTTTTTAGACAGATACTGTTCCAACATCGACAAGCACTGGCTGAACAGCTAAAGGTCACAGAAGACCCTGCTCTTATTCTGCACCTCACATCAGTCCTGTTGTTTCAGTTTTCAACCCACAGCATGCTCCATGCACCTGGAAGATGTGTCCCACAGATCATTGCTTTTCTTAATAGTAAAATTCCAGAGGTATTACATTTTCAATACACTTGAAACTTTCAAAGATTTACATTCTGAATATTTTGAGTGGATTGAGATGAATTACTGTCAGCACTCAGGTATAAAATACATTAACATCAAAGCCCATTTCCAATAATGTGAACAGTGGATTAGGAGATTAATTTTTTAAAATTCCACATAGCTCAAGAATCTTTCAAGAATGTTCTGAATTTGGAAATTAAGCTTTCAGAAAAGATACAATAATGTCAAATCTCCCATTTCAGCTTCTTTAGGTTTAACTTATCCATCAAGGACCCATTCAAAAGTCTTGTCCTATCCCTTTTAGCTAAAAAACCCCTCAGCTAAAAGGGAACTTCCCTATCCCTTTGACTGTATCTTTGGTGATAGAACCAGGTGATAAGTTGACTTTACCATAAGTCAACTTATGGTAAAGTGATTTGCATTCATGTTTTATCTCTCCTAAATTGTACACTCCTTGAGAGCAGAAACTGCTAGATTAGACTTGCTACTTACATGGCCAGTTTTTTGTAAAGATGAGGACCTTCAATGTGTATTAGTTGAAGAAATTCTACTTTATCTGTTCCACAAAAAGATAAATTGTGTTGATTAACTTTTCTTTCCCTTTTCACAGGATCAGCATGCTCTTTTGGTAAAGTATCAAGGTTTGGTTGTAAAGCAGCTAGTCAGTCAAAGTAAGAAGACTGGGCAGGGAGATTATCCCTTGAATAATGAATTAGACAAAGAACAAGAAGATGTTGCCAGTACTACTCGTAAAGAGCTTCAAGAACTTTCTTCATCCATTAAAGACCTTGTTCTCAAATCTAGGAAATCATCTGTGACGGAAGAGTAATGATCTTAATTTACATTTGTCATATAGTAAGCATTTTCCCCCAAGGTTGAAGGTGAGTGGTCACAAAAAAGTAGTCACTATACAACTCCCCTCTCCCTGCAAAAACCACCTCATACACACACAATTCAGTTAAAACAGTAGTATTGTATTAAATGTAAATCTTAAAAAGATGTGAATTTTTGTAAATTGGGTTCTTCATGGAAGTTTTTTTCCACCTGATTTTCACACAAATACTATATGAAATTTTTCACATTATTTTCACATAATTTTAAAAATTACATATTTCAGGTTTGTTCTCTTTCCAAATGTTGAATGAAAAACAAATTTTCCAATCCATTTATCCCTGGGGAAGGATTCATTTGTTGCGAGTGCCAGTATACTTAAATGTATACTTTATATACATTTAAGCAGAAATTTAAAATGTGGTCTTTTTTTTTTAAAAGAAACACTTCTGTGTCAGAAATGAAAATAAATCATGTTTTTTATTTTTAAATAGAAAGCACTTCAAAACTAAAATACAGAAATTTACAAAAAAGAAAAATTATTACTAAGCCCTTGCTCTTATTTTTGGCAGAATAAACATTGATTTTGGTTGGGGCTGCAAGGATGCCTTTACAGGTGCACAAGAACGCTAGAGTGGCCCATGCATTGCTGTGTTCTCTTCTAAAACAAGCTACTAACAAGAGAGAGAACACATGCAATTTATTACCAGTAAGCATAAGTCATATTTAACATTGGAATAACTAAGCATTTTATACAAAGATTTTTCTTTGACCCAGTTTGCATTTGTACATTTTATTTTTTTAGTTCAACAGCTGCTCTGTCACATAATACTTTGTAAATACTAGTGTGAAAAACAGATAGGATGCCTTTTCCAGTGGTAGGAGCATCTGTAAGTGCATTTAAATCATTAGAAGCTTTTTTCCAAAACTAGAAACCCTTATTAAAAAATAGACATTTTTTTCTAAAGATTATTAGTTAAAAATAACTAAAAGAGTTCCTTAGAGTAATCATTTCAACCAAATGAATTTCAAGCAACAACTTACTTACTATTTATCAAAAAGGGATTTAATTATTTTGAATATAATTATAAATTAAATTTCAAATATTTAAAAATACTATTTTATATAATTCCTTATGACATTTTAAACTTTATATTTTAAAATATTTGAATACGAAAAGATCAGTCTACCTCTACTCCATTCTAGACAAAGTATTAATCCTTAGTGAAAGTAATTAATTAAATTGCCAACTTGGCATTATTATTAAACTTGATAGGAACGCAACATTAAATTTAAAAATGTTTTCCCGTGGGTAATTTTCTATTATATATTTTCATATGGGCAAAGGGAAAAAATGATAAATCCTCTGTAATCACAAACCCCAATTTCGTTTTGTTTATTCAGCTTCTAAAATATTGAACACCCAGACTTTTAATTCAACCTTTAAGAACCTTATCATTTATGTTTCAGTAGATATCAAAGTAATCCATGTTTGTGTCAAATGATCATAGAAAATAAATAGAAGAGACAGTGAAGCAAGTAAAAAGAAAAGCATTGTTTTAATTTGTTTGCATTAATTTTTTTCATTTGTCAAAATGCTTCTTTTGTTGCCACAGTAAAGAACAGTTTTTATTGTTTTGTAAGTAAAATTACGTAGCTGATTTTGTATGTAAAGATTAATTTCCATAATAAAAATTATTGTATGTTTACTGTGATCTTAATGGGCAGGGTTAAGAAAGTTATTTAAAATAAAGTTACCTATTCTACTAAATTTTATAGTACTTTGAAGCTTCTATTAATTAACACAAAGATTAATTGGTGCATATATTTTATATATATACATTTTGAATTCTCATTTTGAACATTATTAAAGGATTTTATTTTTCTTACACAAAAATAGTTCCAGAGCTCTCAGTGTCTTTCATTCCTTGAGAGTTTGCCATTCTCAAACCATTTTATCTTAGTAAATTATTTCTCAATTAACTAGATTTCAGCAAATGTGTAGCTGTATTCTTGCATATGCTAATTCCTGCTATTGCAGTCGGGGTAGAAATATTGGAAAATGTGCTCAGGTATTCATGTTCATGTGTTCCAGCTCTAGACTTACTTATGTGCTTTTCAAGAGTTAAGGAAACTCTTGGCCATCAGAAAGATCCGATGAAGAGTGGCATATAGTATCAAAATCACAGTGTATTTTGTGAAAAGACCTTAATGCTAAATTAGGACAATAAATGTAATAGTTGCTTAACCTGAATGTATTATTAGAGAAATGCTTTACTTAGACCAAAAAGCACCATGGATAAGGTCAGGGTGCAATGGTGATCTGAAGCTGGAATCAGACTGAAAAGGAACAGTTCATTCCTTCCTCAGAAATGTCACTAGAACCAGAGTGTATTAGTCCGTTTTCACGCTGCTAATAAAGACTACCCGAGACTGGGCAATTTACAAAAGAAAGAGGTTTATTGGACTTAAATTTCCATGTGGCTGGAGAGGCCTCACAATCATGGCAGAAGGTAAAAGGCAATGTCTCACATGATGCCAGACAAGGGAAGAGGAGCTTGTGCAGGGAAACTCCCCCTTTTAAATTCATCAGATCTCATGAGACTCATTCACTATCAAGAGAACAGAGCAGGAAAGACCTGCCCCCATAATTCAATCACCTCCCACCCTGTTCTTCCCATGACACGTAGGAATTGTGGGAGTCAGAATTCAAGATGAGATTTGAATGGGGACACAGCCAAAACATATCGTTCCATCCCTGGCCCCTCCCAAATCTCATGTCCTCACATTTCAAAACCAATCAATCATGCCTTCCCGACAGTCCCCAAAATCTTAATTCATTTTAGCATTAACTCAAAAGTCCACAGTCCAATGTCTCATCTGAGACAAGGTAAGTCCCTTCCTCCCATGAAGCTATAAAATCAAAAGCAAGTTAGTTACTTCCTAAATACAATGGGGATACAGGCATTGGGTAAATACAGCCATTCCAAATGGGAGAAATTGGCCAAAACAAAGGGGCTACAATCCCTATGTCAAAGTCCAGCAGGCAGTCAAATCTTAATGCTCCCTTTGACTCCATGTTTTGCATCTGAGTCACACTGATGCTAGAAGTGAGTTCCCATGGTCTTGGGCAGCTCCCCCTCTGTGGCGTTGCCGGGTACAGTCTCCTCCTGGCTGCCTTCATGGGCTGGCATTGAGTGTGGCATTTCCAGGCACATGGTGCAAGCTGTCAGTGGAGCTACCATTCTGGGGTCTGGAGGACAGAGGCCCTCTTCTCAGAGCTCCACTAGGCGGTGCCCTAGTAGGGACTCTGTGTGGGGGCTCCCACCCCACATTTCCCTTCTGCACTGCTCTAGCAGAGGTTCTCCATGAGGACCCCGCCCCTGCAGCAAACGTCTGCAGGGGCATCCAGACGTTTCCATACATCTTCTGAAATATAGGCGGAGGTTTCCAAACCTCAATTCTTGACTTCCGTGCACTCGCAGACTCAACATCACGTGGAAGCTGCCAAGGCTTGGGCTTGCACCCTCTGAAGCCATGATTAGAGTGGTTGGGATGCAGGGCACCAAGTCCCTAGGCTGCACACAGCACGTGGACCTGGCCCACGAAACCATTTTCTCCTAGGCCTCTGGGCCTGTGATGGGAGAGGCTGCCGTGAAGATCTCTGATACGCCATGGAGACATTTTCCCCCATTGTCTTGGTGATTTAACATTTGGTTCCCTGTTACTTATGCAAGTTTCTGCAGCTGGCTTGAATTTCTCCTCAGAAAATGGGTTTTTCTTTTCTATCACATTGTCAGGCTGCAAATTTTCCAAACCTTTATGCTCTGCTTCCCTTATAAAACTGAATGTCTTTAATAGCACCCAAGTCACCTTGAATGCTTTGCTGCTTAGAAATTTCTTCCACCAGATACCCTAAATCATCTCTCTCAAGTTCAAAGTTCCACAGATCTCTAGGGCAGGGGAGAGATGCCACCAGTTTCTTTGCTAAAACATAACGAGAGTCACCTTTGCTCCAGTTCCCAACAAGTTCCTCATCTCCATCTGAGATCACCTCAACCTGGACTTTATTGTCCATATTGCTCTCAGCATTTTGGGCAAAGCTATTCAAGTCTCTAGGAAGTTTCAAACTTGCCCACATTTTCCTGTCTTCTTCTGAGCCCTCCAAACTCTTCCAACCTCTGCCTGCTACCCAGTTCCAAAGTCACTTCCACATTTTCAGGTATCTTTTCAGCTGCACCCAACTCTACTGGTACTAATTTACCATTTTCATGCTGCTGATAAAGACATACTCAAGACTGGGCAATTTACAAAAGAAAGAGGTTTATTGGACTTACAGTTCCACATGGCTCGGGAGGCCTCACAATCATGGCAGAAGGTGAAAAGCGCATCTCACATGGCGGTGGACAAGAGAATTTGTGCAGGGAAACGCCCCTTTTTAAAACCATCAGATCTCCTGAGACTCATTCACTATCACAGGAACAGCACAGAAAAGACCTGCCCCCACATTTCAATCACCTCCCACCAGGTTCCTCCCATGACACATGGGAAATATGGGAGTTACAATTCAAGATGAGATTTGGGTGGAGGCACAGCCAAACCATTTCACAGAAACAAATGGGATTTTTTCTATCAAGAAGTAACTGATGTGAGTTGGGAGGGAGTAAGAGGATGGAAGATTTACTTTCTTTCACTAAGACCAATGAAGAATTTCCCCCAATACATGGGAGATGTAATAAATGCACACACAAAACTCCCCTGGGATGTACATTTTCCACACAAATCTGGGAGCACTGTTCAAGTGGCTATTTAAATGACCTGCAAATTCACACAAGTTGCTCTATCTTGAGGACCCTACTAAGCGTACAACAGAATAAATAGATCCAGGAGAGGCTTCTTTCAAACCTTCTAAGAATGAAACTGACTTTCAGGCTTTCAGAAAAACAATTTGTATTACACTTACATCATAAAAAAGAAGGAATAACCACTGTAAACATGTATTCAATGTTTATAAGTTCCCAGTGTTGTATTATTTGTTTTATCAAACTTGCCCCTAGTTGCATCTCTATTTCTCTGAAGTGATTAGTAGTAAGACAATCTGGGTGTTTGTTTTAAGGAGCAGGAAAGACAGGATTACATTGATGGTGAAATGGAGGAAAGGGAGAACATGGTGAATTTATGGACTTGGCCTAATTTACTCGATCGTGTATGACAGCTAAATACTAGGAAGGCACATATCAACTTTAAAGGTATGTTTTACTTTCAAAGAAATAACAAGTCAATAATTACAGTTAAATATAGTGTCTTGGTAAAAGTACACAGAGGGTGTTGTGACAAGAAATGAAATTTAGACTGTGTTGCACAATGGGGAGGCTGGAAATAACACCTGAACCAAGAGTCCAGAGAGAAAAAAAGAAGGATTAGCCTTGGTGAAAATGAGAGAAGGGAAGGAGAGCATATTAAGGCAGAGAAAAGGAGGTACAGAAGTACTATGACGCTAATTAGAATGAAATAATGAGATGTGGGGAGCCAAGAAGTCTGAGAAATATAATAACTGATCTGGGGAAGTAGTGTAAGATAAAGTAGAGAGAATAGGGGGGTTTTGAAATGCCTTAAACACTAAGCTACAAAGTTCAACCACTATCTCAAAAACATGGAAGCCTTTAAAAGATTCAACTAACCAGGGAAATTAAGTAATTACATTTGTCTTCTAAAAAAATTACATTCTGGAAAGCAATTTGGCAATTTACCAAAATTCTTTAAAATGTACATATTATTCGTGAAATTAATGTCTTCCTTTTCTGAGAATTAAAATGACTAAAAAATGTATACGAGTCTTTTTTCCCAGCCTCTAGTAGAGAGGAACATGGACACCTTCTCTTGCACAGAAACAGGCCAATCTTGGCTCTGAAATAGTCTATTCAGATACTAGTCTGCCAAAGAAAAACTGCGATCTGACTAGTCAACCTAAGACAAAAGTCTCAAAGGTTGTCTCATGTTTTGTGTTACTCAATGTAAAGAAGTAAAAGTGCTTTGTCAAACTGTTTTACTACTGAGCCTGTCTTTACTCATCTAAAATGCAGTCCTTAACCTAATTCTATCATACAGACTTCAGAGTTGGGTAAGAACTTGAAGACTTGACACATAGAACATATTGTTGTTTAAATACAACCTAATAAATGTAAATGTACTTAAAGTCAATGTTCTAGATTTTTCTCCTTTCCTCTTTTCAGTCTTAATCTCAGTCCTGTGATTTGTATGTTTTAAATGCTGAGTGTATCTTTTGGTGTTGAAAAAAGAGAGAAAAAAAAGGAGAGCTATTCCATTATGTATTTTATTACATAGCAACTATTTGTTATAGCCACTTTAAAAATATTTTATTGGCTTGTCCATCAGTGAATGACTGGATAAAGAAAATGTGGCACATCTACACCATGGAATACTATGCAGCCATAAAAAAGGATGAGTTTGTGTCCTTTGCAGGGACATGGATGAAGCTGGAAACCATCATTCTCAGCAAAGTAACACAAGAAGAGAAAACCAAACACCACATGTTCTTACTGATAAATGGGAGTTGAACAATGAGAACACATGGACACAGGGAGGGGAACACCACGCACCGGGGCCTGTTGTAGGGTGAGGGGCTGGGGGAGGGATAGTATTAGGAGAAATATCTAATGTAAATGATGAGTTGATGGGTGCAGCAAACCAACATGGCACATGTATACATATGTAACAAACCTGTATGTTGTGCACATGTACCCCAGAACTTAAAGTATAATAATAAAATAAAAAATATTTTATTGGCTTGGAAAATTACAGTATATTAAGTGAAAACAAGGATACAGATTTATAATGGGGTTCAGGATGCACTACGCTAAAATATGGCACCTTGGTGTTTGAGAAAACTCCAGAAGCAGGAAGATCATTCCCACCTTCCCTTTACCCTTCTCTCCCGAGGCAGGTCATAAGACCCTCATTCAAGAGACCTCCCTATGCCTGGAAGAAAGGAACACAAAGAAGAGTCTAAACAAACAGGCCTTGCTAAGTTCCCCCGAGTGTATAATCATTAGACTATATCCCCTTTGTCCAGTCATACTTTTCCATGACTATCCACTCTTCATCAAATCTAAGCATAAAAATACACACGTTTATCTCTTGCTTTGAGTCTTCATTTCTGAAAGGCTCCCATGTCCCATAAAAACTTACATTAAATAATTTGTATACTTTTATTAATTTGCCTTTTTTTATAGGGGCCTCAACCATAAACCTAGTAATGGAAAAGAAAAATATCTCGCACTTTCTACAAGTATATACAATGTGGTCTTGGTTTTCTAACTAAATATACTGCATAACTATGTTATGCAATATATTTACAAAAAATTTTAGCATTTCTCTGTATCATTAATATATGAATGATACAAAGCCTAAAGAGGTACACAAAGATTTGGTCTGGGCTGTCTTGGATTGCAAATCATTTTACATTTTACATTTTCTGTATATGTTTTCCAGTTTCTGTTCCAGATTATCTGCAAGAAGCATGTATTTTATAATTTAACAAACTTATTTAAAAATAATATTTTTCTATAGAGAAGGATAGAAAGGGATCAGGCTGAGGCAGATGCCAGTTATTTTATGGCTGACAGAATAATCTGAGTGAGACATGTGAGACATGGAATGCAGGGGTGAGGACAAATTTGAGAAAGATCATTTAACAAACTAGAACCTACAGAAGGTGGACAATGATGGGGATGGTGGAGGATAAATGAGGAAAGGGAATACTCTAACATAAGGGGTGGATGATTGTGCCATTCCCTGAAGTAGGAAATACAGCAAACTAACAAGTTTGGAATGGGGAGAAGACAATAAGGATATTTGGGACTGTTGAGTTTGAGATGGCTGGGGACCCCTAGACAAGGTTTTCTAATAGATAGCGGGATACAGGTCTGGAACCTTGAAGAGTGGTATCAGATGAAAGTACACATTTGGGAGTCATGTTGTATAAAATTGTTCATTGTTTTGATGAAGAACGTGATGGAAAGTCTGCAGAGAAGCATACTGAACAGAAGATAAAGCTCTAGGGAAGAGTGAGGTGAATAGAGAGAAAGTGAGGGTGCTAAGAGCAAACAGAAAATCAGAAGGGTGTAACATAGCAAAACCAAGGGAAGATAATTTCAGAAAGAAATAGACATGGCCAGAGATGAGAATTTTTCGGTAAGACTGAAGACCATACTCTTTGGGTTGCTAATCAAGGTTGTATATGATCTTAATGAAGCTTTTTTGGAGCGGTTCAAGTGAAAGACAGATTGCAATAAGTTGGGAGGGAGAAGAAGGCTCAGAATGTAGTAGGTTTGGAATGACTTGGTGGATGTAGATTACCCTCTCAGGAAGCATGGGAGCAAATAAAGAGGGTGATGGTCCCAGGCACTTTTACATCTCAAGGACTGCTTTCCTTGCCCATAAAACAAGGAAAATACAGGCAGTACCTGTTTAGCAATGGTGTCCTAAGGATTAAAATCTATTACTAATGAAATATACTTGTGTCCTTTTGCTGAATCCAAATTTATTGTTGTTAGTCGCCATATGTTCATTTTCATAATGTCTTAATCATTAAAGTCAAGTGAATAACAAAACATACAGTTAACTGGCTCTGCATTTCTCTAGCTCAAGTTCTTTGACTGTATATACCCGAGTTTGACCTTAGAAGATATTAACATTTCATTCCTTTAGCAGTTAGAACAAGGACAGTTTAAGTTTGGTCTGGGATTAAGGCAGAATTTCTTCTCTCATCCTGCCTTCCAAACTGAAGAAATGGCCTCAAATGGAGATTCTAAGAGAAAATGTCACTTGCCTTATGAATCAGTGTGCCCCACTGAGGATACCTATTATGGATTGGTTTAATATCCAAAAATTTCTTCAGATCCAACTCTTGACATCTCTGTCCACTTTTTGTGTTTTGAAGATTTCAAAAGACTCAATGAGTTTATGCTTTATGAAGTCATAGAGCCATGGATGTGATGTCACAATTGTGGCCAGCTCACCAGGAAGCAGGCAGAGCGGGGAAGGCTGAGTCCACACTGCAAGTCCAGAGAGCAGGGAACTACCTTGAGTATTCTACTCAAACTTATGTCTCAGAGTTCCCCAATTTCCCAAGAAGGGAGAGATAGAGGCCACAATCCAGGGGGCCATCTCTTAAGGTACCAATAATTTTGCAGGTAAGAGCATGGGACCTCATCCCTTTCCAGATGGCCTCAAAAGGAGATTCTAAGAGACAATGTCCAAAAGAAAAGCTCAGCGGTTCAGACATTTCTAACCTAAAAGAAGGGTTCTGATCACCACCAGAAAACAAAGAAAACAAAGCCAAAAACAGATTGAGGAAACAGAAAATACATCATCCTTTTAGAGTATTATTTTTATAAATATGCCCTTAATTTAGCCTAGTTAGTGGAAATTTCTCAAGTGTGTATGCGTCTGTGTGAACATTGTGTATTTTAAACTTTTTGGAGCTTAGCCAGATACTTCGAATGCTAATCCTGGCAGAATTTCCCTTTAAGGATGTCCTGCAGAGAATTTGTTACTCATAGTTTTAAGTAAAAATTGACAAATAGTGCTTTTTCAGCCCAGTAGGAGTCATGTACACGGTATAAGACTTGGAGGAAATGCAGGGACCCTTCTGTTTTCTCCTGCAAAGTTGAAAAAGCTGCATGCAGTTGGAAGGGATCTTCAGATGGTGCTGGTGACTTTCTGTTCCTTTTGGAGTTGACATGCATGTGGATTGGAGGAAAAATAATCAACATATATTCTCCTTTCGTACTGTTTAAATCACAGGAAGAAGCGGCTTTAAGACAAAGTGAGTTCTTTCCCCCAAATATTTCCTTTGTTTTGTTTTGTGGTATTTTGACTTCTCTAATTTTTTTTTAAGGATGAGAAATTTTTATAAACTTTCCAGTAACTACTTAAGAGAAAACTTTTGCTTGGCAAAAGTGTATGCCTTTTGAAGTTTCTTAGCCATTTTAGCTAAAGGTTATCAAATTTTATATGCTGAGCTTTTCAGATTTCTCATTCTTATAACTTGCATGTGGAGGTAACATAGGGGCCAGATAACTCCTTGGAATTGCCTCTTGAGTTTTTCTAATGGTCTTAATGTGGGGTATAGCTTTATTGTTGTAAAAAGAGGAAGAAGAGGAGGGCTCTTGAGATTTTATTTGGCTTAATTTATTTGAATGAATAACATTATCACTGAGCATATTTTATGACTAGATTTATATTTCAAGAGCACATTTTGAAGTCACTTACAGGTTTTAAGTAAAAGGAGTTAATGAGATTCCTGCTATTTTCAAGAAAAATCTGCCTACTTTCCAGAAGTGGGCATACAAAAATTCATAATCTTTAATTTTCTAAGGTTAAATTAAAATATCTGTGTTTCCAGCCCACAGAAATATATAATAGACTATATCAATCTAAAGTGCTACTTCTTGAAACAGAGGTAGTGTTATTCAGGCAAAAAGCATACATCCCATATGTGTTAATGCTTTCTCTCTCACTATTTTAGTCATATCCTCTTTGGTACCTATCATTCATTTGAAAACCAAATGCAGCTCCTCAGCTGTCATTTCAGACTTTAGAAAATTGGAAACTAAAAAGAATTATTAACAAAATGCATAGCTCTCATACATAAAATGTAAGGAAATCCTTGAGCCATTTTAGCCCTCATTTTATATCCACAATACCATCATGTGTAAATACTAGCATTTTTATTAGCAAAGCATATGGATTAAAATTTAACATAGGTATTGCAAACATATGTATCATACAAGATATTTCTTAACATATGTGTTATGATATATGCTTTAAGCCATAATCCAAATTGCTTTAAGGGGAAGGTAAACTCTAGTGTCTGTTTTCTACACTTGTTCTATTTATTCTCACATTATTATTAGTTGCCAAATCTGGGACTGTTCTACCTAAGCAAGAGTAGTAGATTTGTGTTTTAATATAACACCACCTCACTGACAAATTTACCTCTTATTTTTATTACACTTACCAACATTTTGAGTAAAGCTGAATTAATCTGTGTTTCTTACATAAGACTGGGTACTTTTCTACTATAATATTACAAATAAGAGTTTAGAAAATTTAGAGATTTAGAGAATATTTAGAGACAGATATTTAATTTGTCTGTTTTTATTTTTTCAATCGAGGGAACATGATCTCTTTAGAAATGAAAGCTGAATACTTGGGTTCGCATGGGAAGCTCTGAATCAGATATTAGTTAAACCAGCTTGCATTTCCTTGTTCTTGTAATTATCTTTTTCCTCTCCAATTACCATAATTTTTCTTGGTTACTTTTTGGTACCCTGAAAGCTCATTGAAGGAGAGGAAGAGAAGAAAGAGGTAGAGGAAGAGGAGGAGAAGGAGGACTCCTTTTTGCCCAACATGCCTCAAATCCCTGCAAAATAATCAGCTTGAGGCCAGGCACGGTGGCTCACTTCTGTAATCCTAGCTTTGGGAGGCCAAGGTCGTGGGGATCACTTGAGCCCAGGGTTCAAGACCAGCTGGGGCAATATAGGGAGACTCTATTTAAAATAAAAATAAATAATCAGCTTATTGATGACATACCCTAGTATTTTATATGAACTAGTAAAACATTCTTATGGGTTTGGGTTTACCTTATCCTCACCATATGTCTAAACTTTCACATGGGCTAATTACCCTGATTAGAACATACTAGGATATGTCAACAGCAAGGTTTACATTCATTAAATAAATAAAGCTAGAGAGTCTCTTTGAAAACAATAGTGTGATGTGGAGAACAGAGTCAAGGTTTTGAAGTGTCATTCATACTGAGTTTTCTATGAATGAGGGCAAGTGAGTTTGCCTCCCTACCTTAAAGATATAATTAAAACAGCTGTGTTATAGAATTTTATATTAGAATAATAATAACAGTAGTCATTTTTATTTTTTGTCTTCTCAAATTCTTCGGTTATACTTCCAGCACCAATGGACCTTAAATTTATCTCACTTGATTTTTAGCAAAGCTTTGAGCGATTCCTTTGCATATTCATTTTGCCAAAGGAATACTCACCAAATGGATCCTGAGTAGATTATTTTGATATATTCAGGTTGTCTCCTCCCATTTAAAAATATACCTTTTTGTATTTTTCCAATATCATTGCAATTATAATGCTCTAAAGATGGTGGTGTGGAAGTGGAGTGGAGAAATATGCTTCTTGGGCTTGTTCTCCAGCTTGATTTTGTTTAACTATCTCTTACAATTATTCATAAAACAATTTAAGTAACATGTCATAAGTCACATGACTTCTAAGATTTTTTTCTTCTTAAATTTTTTCTTTTTTGCTTTTATTAGTATTACTATAGACATGTAACTGTACATATCCATCAGGTACAATGTGATATTTGTATACATGTATATGACAAATTATCAAATCAGGGTAAATAGCATATTTATTACCTTATTTTTCATTTCTTTGTGTTGGGAACATTTACAATCCACTCTTCTAGCTATTTGAAAATATACAATAAATTGCTAATTATAGTTACCCTATAGTGCTATAGAACACTCAAACTTATTCCTCCTATCTAGCTGTATTTTGTATTTCTTAACCTACCTTTGGCTATCTCTTTCTTCCCCCTACCCTTTTCTGCTTCCAGTAAGCACTATTCTGCTCTCTCCTTCTATGAGATTGACTTTTTTAGCTTCTTCATATTCATGAGGACATGCAGTATTTATCTTTCTGTGTCTAGCTTATTTCACTTAAAATAATGTCCTCCAAGCTCATTCATGTTGCCGTGAATGACAGAAATTTGTTCTTTTTTACAACTAAATAATACTTCATTGGGATATATAGCACTTTTTTTAATCCATTCGCCTATTGATGGAAACTTAGGTAATTTCATATCTTGGCTATGTGTTGTGAGTAGTGCTGCAATAAACATGGGAATACAGATATCTCTTTAACATACTGATTTCCTTTCCTTTGGATATATACCCAGTAGTGGGATTGTTGGATCATACGGTAGTTCTATTTTTAATTTTTTGAGGAACCTTCAAACTGTTTTCCATAATGGGCATATATATGCATATATTCCAAATAACATATAAGAGTTTGTGTTTCACCAAATCCTTGTCAGCATTTTTTTTTTGTCTCCTTGGTAATAGCCATTCTAACTGGGGTGAGATTATATCTTCTTGCGGTTTTGATTTGCATTACCCTGATGATTAATGACATTGACCATTTTTTGTACCTACCTGTTGGCCATTTGTATGTCTTCTTTAGAGAGATGTCTATTCAGCTTATTTGTCTGCTTTCTAATGTGATTTTTTATTTGCTATTGAGCTCATTTTATATTATGAATATTAAACTCTTGTCAGATGAATAGTTTGCAAATACTTTCTCCTGTCCTGCAGGTTGTCTTTTTTCTCTGTTGACTGTTTCCTTTGCTGCGCAGAAGCTTTTTAGTTTGACATAATTTCATTTGTCTATTTTTGCTTTGGTTGTCTGTGCTATTGAGGTCTTATCCATGAAATTTTTGCTCACACCAATACCCTGAAGTATTTCCCCTATGTTTGCTTCTAGTTGCTTCATAGATTCAGGTCTTATATTTAAGTTTTTAATCCATTTTGAGTTGATTTTTACATGTTATGTGAGGTAGAAATACAGTTTCATTTTTCTGCATATGAATATTCAGTTTTCCCAGCATCATTTTTCAAAGAGACTGTTCCTTCCCCATTAAATGTTCTTGGCAGCTTTGTTGAAAATCATTTGGCTGTAAATATGTGAATTTATTTCTGGGTTCTCTATTATGCTCCATTGTTCTATGTCTCTATTCATATGCCAATATCATGCTATCCGGGTTACTATAGTTTTGAAATATATTTTGAAGTTCAAAATGTGATTTCTCCGGCTTTGTTCATTTTGCTCAGGATTGCTTTGGCTATTCAGGGTCTTTTGTGGTTTCATATAAATTGTAGGAGTTTTTTTCTGTTTCTGTGAAGAACATCACTGGTATTTTGATAACATTGCATTGAATTGGTAGATCACTTTTAGTAGTATTGTATTAATTTTTACAATATTAATGTCTACAATTCATGAACATGAGATATCTTTCCATTTTTTGTGTCTTCTTCAATTTTTTTTATCAGTGTTTTGCAGTTTTTATTGTAGAGATCTTTCACCTCCTTGGTTAAATATATTCCTACATGGCTTTTTTTGTAGCTATTATAAATGCAATTTGTTTCTTGATTTTTTTTCCACTAGTTTGTTTTTGGTGTATAGAAAAGCTACTGGTTTTTGTATTCTTTTTTTTTTTTTTTTTGTATCCTCCAACTTTACTGAATCTGTTTATCAGTTCTGAGATTTTTGGTGGAGCTTTTATGATTTTCTATATAGAAGCTCTTGTTATTTGCAAATGAGGACAATTTGACCTCCTTTTCAATTTAGATGCTCCTTATCTCTTTCTCTAGCCTAAGTGCTCTGCCTAGGGCTTCCAGTACTCTTTTGAATAAAAGTGAGATGATTGTCTTCCAAATCTTAGAAGAAAAGCTTTAAACTTTTCTCCATTCAGTGTGATATTGGCTGTGGGTTTGTCATACATGGCTTTAATTATGTGGAAGTACATTCCTTCTATACCTAACTTGTTGAGAATTTTTATCATGAGGGGATGTTGAATTTTTCTCAAATACATTTTCTCTATCTCTTGAGATGATCAAATTGTTTTTGCCCTTCATTTTGTTGATGTAATGTATCACATTTATTCATTTGTATATTACATCCCTGAGGTAAATCTTACCTACATGGTGAATAATCTCTTTAATGTGCTGCCAGATTGGTTCACAAGTATTTTGTTGAGGATTTTTGCATCTATGCTCATCATGTTCATTGGCTTATAGTTTTCTTTTTTTGTTGTTGCATCCTTGACTAGTTTTGGTATCAAGGTAACACTGGCCTCATAGAATGAGTTTTAAAGAATTCCCTTATCTTCAATTTCTGGAAGAATTTGAGGAGAATTTGTATTAGTTCTTCTATAAATCTTTGGTAGAATTCCAGAGTGAAGCTGTCATATTCTGAGCTTCTTTTTGATAAGAGACTTTTTATTACAGACTTAATGCCATTACTTGTAATTGGTCTGTTCAGGTGTTCTCTTTCTTGTTGGTTCACTTCTGATAGATTGTTTGTGTCCAGGAATTTACCTATTTCTGTCAGGTCTTCTAAAGTTTTTGGTATATAGCTGTTTATAATAGTCTCTGATAATTTTTTGTATTTCTATGGTATTAGTTGTAATGTCTCCTTTTCATTCCTGATTTTATTGGGACCTTTACGTTTTTCTTGGGTAGTCAAGCCAATGGAATGTTGATTTTGTTTATCTTTTCAAAAAAATTCAGCTTTCCATTTTGTTGATATTTTGTATTTTTTAGTCTTAATTTTATTTATGTATGCTTTTCTTTCTTTCCTTCTAATTTTGGGCTTGGTTTACTCTGCTTTTCTAGTTTCTTGAAGTGCATCATGAGCTTGTTTATTTGATATCTTTCTACTTTTTTGATATAGGTGTTTGTTGCTGCACACTTACCTTCTAATACTGCTTTTGCTATACCCCAGATGTTTTGGTATTTTGTGTTTCTATTTTCATTTGTTTGAAGATATTTTAAAATCTTCCTCTTAATTTCTTCATTGACTAATTTGTTATTCAGGAACATGTTGTATAATTTCTATGTATTTGTACAATTTTTAAAGTTCCTCGTTATTTTGATTTCTAGTTTTATTATATTGTGGTCAAAAATTGATATGATTTCTATTAAATTTGTTAAGATTTGTTTTGTGGTCTAACGTGGTCTATGCTAAAGAATGTTTCATTTTCTAATGAAAAGAATATGTATTTTGCAGCTGTTGAATGAAATGTTCTGTAAATGTCTGGTAGGTTCATTTGGTCTAAAGTGCAGTTTAAATTAAATGTTTCTTTGTTAATTTTCTGCCTGAATGATCTGTCCAATGCTGAGGGGTGTTGAAGTCCCCAGCTATAATTGTACTGAAATCTATTTCTCCTTTGGGTTTAATTATTTGCTTTATAAATCTGGATGTTGTGGTATTGGATGTGTGTATGTTTACAATTGTTACATCTTCTTGCTGAAGTGAAAATAACCTTGTCTCTTTTTGTTTAAAGTCTGCTTTACCTGATATAAGTATAGCTATTCTCCCTTGCTTTTGGTTTCCATTTGTATGGATTTTTTTTCCATCCCTTATTTTTATTCTATATGTGTCTTTTTAGGTGAAGTGAGTTTCTTTTAGGCAGCATATACTTAGGTCTTTTTTTTTTTTAATTCATTCAGCTAGTCTATATCTTTTCAGTTGGGAATTTAGTCTGTTTACAGCCAAGGTTATTATTGATAAGTGAGGACTTAACATCCACCATTTTGTTGTTTTCCTGTTGTCTTGTATATCTTTTGTTCCTTTCTTTTTCTCTTATAGTTAATCATTGTGGTTTGGTGGTTTTCTGTAGTGACAAGGTTTGATTCTTTTCTCTTTCTCCTCATATATCTGCTCTACCAATGAGCTTTATACTTTTGGTGTGTTTTCATGACAGTGATTTTCACTTCCAGATGTAAGTGAAAATCACTTAAGCATTTCTGGTAAGGCCAGGTGAGTGGTGACAAATTCCTTCAGTTTTTGCTTACCTCGAGAAGGCTTTATTTCTTCCTAATTTCTGAAGGATAACTTTGCTGGGTATAGTATTCTTAGCTAGCAATTTTTTTTCTTCTTTCACCATTTTGAGTTTATAACTCTATTCTCTCCTCGCCTGTGAGGTTTCTGTAGCAAAATTTACTAGTCTAATGCAGTTCTCTTATGTGACTTGACAATTTTCTCTTGCTGTTTTTAGAACTCTCTGTCTTTGACTTGTGACAATTTGCCTATAATGTACCTCTAAGAGGACCTTTTTGGGGTTGAATCTATTTGGGGAATTTTGAGTTTCCTGGAGCTGGATGTTCAAATATCCCTCCTCCACAACCCCCACCACTAAATTGGGAAGTTTTCAGTTATTATTTTATTAAACAGGCTTTCTATACTTTTTCCTTATCTTCTCCTTCTGGAAATTCCATAATACAAATATCTGTTTGTTTAATGTTTTCCAATAAGTCTTATAGGAATTCTTCACTCATTTTCATTCTTATTTCTTTTTTCTTTTCTCTGACTGGGTAACTTCAAAAGACCTAGCTTTAAGTTCAGAGATTCTTTTTTCTGCTTGATCAAGTCTGCTGCTGAAGCTCTCTATTGTATTTTATATTTTATTCATTGAATTCTTCAACTGCAGGATTCTTGTTTTGTTCTTTTTATGATTTTTATCTCTTTATTGAATTTTTCATTTATATTGTGAATTTTTTTCTTATTTTATTTAATTGTGTATCTGTGTTTCCTTGTATCTAATTGAGTTTCCTTACAATCATTATTTTACATTTTTTTGGCAATTAATTGATTTCCTTTTAATTGGAGTCTGTTACTAGAGAGTTATTATATTCCTTTGTTGGTCTCTTATTTCCTTGCTTTTTCATGTTTCTTGTGTCCCTGCATTGATGTCTGTGTATCTAGTGAAATAATCACCTTTTTCAAACTTTCTGGAGTGATTTTCATAAAGAAAGTCTTTCATCCTGCAGTTGAGTTTTACTGTGCAGTTAGAAAAGGTGTAGTGACTCTGTTTCCAGATAGGTATAGAGATAGAGTCTCTGTGCAGCTTCTTCAGTTGTATTCAAGGTCAGGAATAACTGTGGGTGCCTCATAGCCTACGCTTAGAGGTTTGTGGCAATGGCACTGGCAACATAAGTTTTTAATGTTCTTTGTGTTAAGGGCTTCTGGGGTCCTCCTATTCTGGTTTTCTCTAAAATAAGGAGACTTAGCTGAGCGCATCCCTTTTGGTGTCAAGTCTGACATGGCCTACAAGCAGCTGCAGTGGCATGGGTTCTACGTGCAGTGATCAGGATTCTACATGCAGTAGGAGTTTTCAGCTCAGTATCTCATAAAGCTATTGAGGCAACTGGGCTTGGGGTGCAGCTTCACCCCTTGTGGCAGGGTTGGATGTAGGTTACCCATAGAGCCAGGATCTATGATTCTGAGGGACCCCCTAGCAGCTCAGGCTCAGGGTGCCAGGTTGTAGCTGTGATTCTACCCCTGGGGGGCAGGGCACAGCACTGGCCTGACTCCAGGGAATAAGGAGTGCTCTGGAACTTTGGCCTTGGGAGCAGGGTATGGCTGCAATTCAGAAACCTGAGTCAATAGGGCTCAGTGTCAACTCAGGTTCCAAGGGATGAGGCACTGGGTAGTAGTGATTGTAGACCCTGGGATAGTGGTGCTCAGCAGTATCCCAGAATGTGTGGGGCCAAGTGTATTTGCTTTCAGTACTCCAGAATGGTGGAGGACAGCTGTTGTTTGTTCCCTGGGTGACAGGTGGGTAGGAAAAAACACAGCAATGACTCCACTCCCTAGATAGAGGGGTACTTCTGCATCTGAGACTCTAGAGAGCTAGGCCAGTGCTGGGGAATCGAAGTCTAAAATTGTTCAGTTTATAGAGCAAGGTGTCTCAGCTCAGTTTCTGCTCAGCTCAGCCAGAGCACTAATTCCCCAAGGGACAATGTGCCACTTCAGCTCAGGCTTGAAGGATGTGACTGTTCTGGGCTGCACAAGCACTGTTTTCTTGGGATGCGGGGCATCAGTTCAGCTTAAGTAATGGAGTGCATGACTGCTCTGGATGGCCAAGGCACAATTTCCTAGGATGCAGGGCACCACTTCAACTTAGACACCAGGGAGACATGACTGCTCTGAATAGCCAAGGTACTGTTTTCCCAAGAGACAGGATGCTGCTTCAGCAGGGGCAGGGGGAGGAGTTGGTAGAGCAATTCCACCTCCACTTGACCCCACAGGAAAAAGTGTTAACAGCTGTTAACAGCACATATTGGGGATGTGGGGCTCTGGGGATGGGGTGGTTCAGGGGTGGTTTAGTCTCAGGGATGAAGGGGAGCCATGACTACTTACTCCTTGAGTAAGGCTCAGTCTAGCTGTAGTTCCTGTTCCAAGATGCCATAGCCAATAGTCACATGGGCCACAGCAGGTGGGGCACAGTGTCAACTCCTTCTCTGGCTAAGCACAGCTATATAGACTCCAGGCAGCTTCACCATGTGGGCTTGGTGCCTAAGAAGACTGCAGAGAACACCAGTGGGAAGGTCTGTTGGTGTCCAGGGTGTTGATGGAGATTGTTGGAGTCATCCTGCTTACCTCCTCACCATAAGAAGTTCCTCCTGGCTTCCAGCTGATCCCACTTGGGGGATGGGATGGTGAAGGCCTGGCATTTCCTTATTCTCTATGTAGCCATCCTGAGTTTTTGTGCTCACCCAAGTTTCTATTAGTTTTAAAATGCAGCTGCTTTTCCATTGTTCTGGCTGTCTTTGACAGAGGCATAAGCACTAGGGGCTTCTAGTTGGCTATCTTGCTGCTATCTCTCTGACCTTTAATACTTTTAGAAAGAAGATTAACCGTTCTCCTGATCAAGGTATCAAACTATTTATTATCTTTGACAGTACCAAAAAGTCATACATACATGTAATTCATTCATTCATATTTTCATTCATTTATTGATCAGTTAGATCAAGCCAATATAAACCTACTGAAAAAGTCAAGGTGTTCAATTTTCTTTATATCATGAAACTCTCTATTGTGCTAATGAACACTAAAGAGGCTCCTATTGACAAGGAACTGTCTATCATCAATTTTGACCAAATGCCTCTTAGTATAGAATTAAAATGCTTCCAATTTTCTTTAAGCTTTTTTGTCACATAAAGATCAACACTTCCTTAGATTCATGGGTATAATTTGCATTTGAAAAAAATCCGACACCAAGCTGTCATGCTATCTAAATTAAGATTTCATTTATAAAAATGATTTCTAGTCTTGTAATTACATTCAGTCTATTCATTTGTTCCCTTGAACATTTTGATAGTCACACTATCACAAAATATTCTAATTTTTTTTTTTTTTTTTTTTTTTTGAGACGGAGGCCCAGGCTGGAGTGCAGTGGCGCAATCTCGGCTCACTGCAAGCTCCACCTCCCGGGTTCACGCCATTCTCCTGCCTCAGCCTCCCTAGTAGCTGGGACTACAGGTGCCCGCCAACACGCCCAGCTAACTTTTTGTATTTTTAGTAGAGACGGGGTTTCACCATGTTAGCCAAGTTGGTCTCGATCTCCTGACCTCATGATCCGCCCACATCAGCCTCCCAGAGTGTTGGGATTACAGGCATGAACCACCGCGTCTGGCCCAAAATATTCTAATTTTTGACCTATAATTGTTTTTTAAATTAAACAATTATACTCCCATTTTTTTCAATATTTTTCTTATGTTTCCTTATTACCAAAGTGATAGATTACAGTATACAATTTGAAAGGTACTGAAAAGTAAAATTTTAAATACTCCTTAACTTCAATTAAGAGCCTTAACATTTCAGCATATTTTCTTCTAAACTTGTTTCTACTTAAAAAAAAAATTATATAATTGAGGTCATACTGATTATTCTATTTCACACTTTTTTTCCCACTTAGAGAATTATAAGCATTTCACCATGCCATTAAATACTCTTCCGAATACCATGTTAATGACTTCTAGTATTATTTTTAAAACCATTTAGTAAATATATATTCTTTAAAGTAGTGTACAGAAAGTTCTTTTCAAATCCTAATTAAACTTAAGCATACTTTAACAAACACCCAGCAAAATACAATTAAAAGCAGAAAATGTACTTTTAAACTTGAGATTAGGGATCAGCAAAATGTTTTCTACAAAGAGCCAGATAATACTTTAGTCTTCAAAATTACTCAGCTCTACTGTTGTACCTGGAAATAAGCCATAGATAGTATGATAATGAATGAGTGTGGCTGTGTTCCAATAAAACTTTACTTATGAACACCAATATTTAAATTTCATATGTCAAAAATATTCCTCTTTTGGTATTTATCATTTAAAAATGTAAAAGCGATGCTTAGGTTTCAGACCATACAAAAACAGGCAGTGGCTAGATTTGGCCCTTGAGCTACATATAGTGGCAGATCTCTACTGTAGAGCCTGATTCCAAGAACCCTGCCTTCCCAGGGTTTGAGAAATTTCTGTGAACATATGCATTCATATATATTTTTAAGAAGAGGTAAATAGCTTTTATTATATGCTAAATAGTTATTAAATATAAAATGGTTAAGAGTCACTATTCCAAATAATATATATAAAGTCACTTTATAAACCATAATTTCTTATTAAAATATATACTGGTACTTCACTTATAATATTCTTCACTTAGATACCAAATGATCTGAAAAAGATTGATTAGTAGAAATAAATTTATGTTATTATCAGAATTCCACCTGGGAAAATAATATCCAGAATCCAAAAAGCTAATAAACTTTAAAGAGAAAATAGGTGACAAGTTAAATTTTCGAAAACACTTAAAATAACAAGTAATGGTTATTTCAGTGAAGGTAGTTGGCATATTTATTGCTTTTGATTTTTTAGCTGAGCCAAGAGATTATTTTCATTTAAACTATAATAACTAGCATCATCAGAGAATAGGTCCTGCTGCCTAATTTAACATCCGGTTAACGAAAGTTAATATATGTATGTCTCTCTCATTCCTCTCCTCTCCCCGTCTCTCAATACACATACACATACATACAACAAACAGACCAAGAATAAAACTAGCTTTATTGTAACATTTGTTTAGATTGGAAAGTTCCACTTAATCATGTATATCTCCTTTCAGAATTCTAAAGCAAATGAGAAATAGATACATAAATCACGTATGGATCAATTTATTATCAACCTCATTATTGTTAATGCGGGAGTAGAAAACAAAACGTGCATGAGAGACCAAGCCCTTCCCTTCCCAGCCTGAACTGAGCTTCTTCCCAGAAGGAGTAGAGAGCCTGGATCTTACAGTGCTCCCTCATGAGCTGGGACTGAGCAGTTGGAGTGAACTCACTGCAGAGAGGGAACACAGGCCCATGCTTTGGCAACTTCCAATGGAGTAAGGGAAACAATGTGGCTCCACATGAAGTGCCTTTTGCCCAGTTACTTACCAGTTAAGTCACTCCTCAAGTGGCATAGAATGAGTGAATACTTTCAAAAGAGAGAAACTCCTTTAAAGGGCAAGCACAGAAACCAGGGGGAATGAGAAGTTCTCTCTTACGATCTTTAACTCAAAAAAAAATTCTTGATCTGTTTTAAATTTAGGATGTCAGTGAAAATTGTTGAAATACCAAGAGAGACTTTTAGTTAACAGAATACGTCATAGATCTACCTTTTCAGTATGGTGTTTAGTTGGCCAAAAAGAAAACAGTGGGCCAAATAAATCCATAGCAATGTGTAGTTAAGTTTTTAAAGCTCTGACATGTAAAAAGAACTAGTTTTATATGTGACCTTTTTGTTATCCAAGTATGGATACCACCCTCCAGTTCTAGTGGTGCTTGTGAGCTTGCAGACCACTCCCCTGCTCATGCTAAGTCACTACCTCCACAACTGTGTGGACGGCCCTCAGCTTAGGAACCTCCACCTACTTTGTCTTCGAGACTACCTTTTATTCAACCTTCAAGGCACAGCTCTAAAAGAAGCTTTACCTGAAGTTTTCCAGAAACTTCCTAAAATACCCAGAGTAGCCTGTGCATACCTTCACACTTTTCCACAGGACCTCTCTCATTCTTCTCTCACTCTCTTCCATCTGCAAATATTTACTGAGCCTTCAGCGTATGCTGGTAATAAACTAGACACCAGGAGTCTGCTGGCAAACATAGTATCTTCCCTGTCTTTTCTGTTGATCAGGAAACACAATTAGCCAGAGATAAAGCATACTGTGGGTGGTAAAGTACCAAGAACCACACGAACATGCAGCCAGGTCCTTATCTTGCAGAAGAGTGACGGAGTGAAGAGAATATTTGAATGTCCCTCTCCCAGGCTACCACGTAAGCTTTTCATAGGTAAAGACCTTTACTTTACTGCCAAGCACCATGGATGGCCCAGAGTTGGCCCTCAAGAGCTTTTTATGAAACCTACAGAACTAAAGTGTATATATTCAGGGAGCTGTTTGATAACATATATATTCAGGGAGCTGTTTAAAGTGAAAAAGACAGACAGGATTCTAGAACCAAACATCTGACTTCTTCCTTTCTGCATTCATTCAGCATGTATTTGTGCCAGGCTGTCTTGTAGGTGCCACGGACACAACCCTAAACAGGACAAGAAAGGTCTCTGCTCTGTGTGATGCATTGGCATGCCTTAAGAATTCACATATTAAGTGATGTTTAGAATGAAGATTAACACTAAATTGTAACCATATTTAGCTACTAATACTGTGAACACTTTGGTTTCCAAGGGAATGGTAACAGATTTTCCCCATTTCCTTATATACAGAATTAGCATAAAAACCTGAGATCAACATGTTGTGTTTCCAAAGCCTCAAACATACAACTGCTGAGTGAAAGCTCCAAGTATTTTGGCTATGATCATTTTCCTTTGATGGATGCTGAGAATCAACTTTGCCTAAATTTCTGAGAGGGAAAACAGATAAAAATTAAATTAAATTAAATTAAAGCTGGCTTTAAATATCAAATGGCCAACTCCCACCACCAACATCATCAACAAATTTTAAACTGTCAAAAGAATAGCTTGTAATTATTGATTAGTGTTATCACCAAAGCACAGGATACAGCTTTGCCTTGTACCTTTTAAAATCACATTCTGGCAAGAGGCAGATTATTTTGCTTCAGGTATAGATACTGGAAAAACTAGTTAACATCAATCTCCACCATTCAACCCCAACTCAAACACCCCCCCAACACACATACACACAGTACACATTCTCACAAATACATACACACAGACACACACATCCCACACAACACACATTCTCACAAATACACACCCATACACCACACATGTACACACATCACTAACCTCATTTTATCAGATGAGAATGCAGAAAATAAAGCCAAATATGATTTTGGGCTTATCTTTCCAACTTTCACAGTAATCCAATAGTAACTTGAGTTGCCCCAAATGTTACAGGGGATTTGTACTTCCTTTTGAAGATAGCTATTTCATTTTGTACAGCTAGAAGCAGCTTGGTTTTAGGCATGGAATGAACCTCTCTGCTCATGCTTATGAAGCTGTTACTTGGTCAACAATTAAAACTTAGAAGGATAGATGCAAATAAGGAGAGAAAGTTTTCATCTTTTTCTATGTTTTGAAAAATTACAGCCTAACTAAAGCTGTCATTTTAAACAAGCTTTTTACCTTTTTACCAACTTCTACGTGGAAAACAAAACAAATGGCTTCTGTGAGAAGCCTGGAAACCTGAATTCTGGTTGAGGCTTTTTTACTAGTTTGTCAGCTTCTTCTTTCAAAAAAAAAAAAAAAAAGTCAGTTCGCCTCTCTGAACTCAGTTTTTGTCATTTGTTAGATTAGAATTATAAATGAAACTAGAGAATTTCAAAAATCCCTCCCAGCTTTTAGATTTGGTGGTTCTGTGAAAATGGACTTGGATCAGAAGTGTAGGAAGTATAACAAAATGACTGCAGCATTAAGAGGCTTTATCTCTAAATATCTTACACCATACTAATGAGAGATTTCTTTTTTCTGAGTTTTCCTACAATTCTCCTCTCTGCTCTTCCCCTCCTTTCCTCTTTCTCCTTCTCATTATTCTTATTCCAATGATTGAGATTTGATTTATAGTAAACTATTACAGAAAAGACTCACTGATTGCACAATTAATTTACTGCAAAGTAGAAGTTAATTTTTTTTCTTCTTAAGAAAACAAGGTCATAAAGAGCAAAGCTGAGAGACAAATTGTACAAAATAACCAAAACGAGAAATGTAAGTTGTCTTTAAATGAGTCACTAAACTGGCATCTAATTTTGGCTGATCTTCTCTTTTACTTCTGTTAACAACGTGGTCCTAAATAAGTCAATCATTGCAAACTGGCAATCTAGTCTAAAAAGAAGCTTGTTAAAATTGATTTGGCACCACGCACAGTGGCTCACGCCTGTAATCCCAGCACTTTGGGAGGTCGAGGTGGGAGAATCACTTGAGGTCAGGAGTTCGAGACTACCCTGGCCAACGTGTCGAAACCCCATCTCTACAAAAAATACAAAAATAAGCCAGGTATAGTGGCATGCGCCTGTAGTCCCAGCTACTCCGGAGGCTGAGACACAAGAATCGCTTGAACCTGGGAGGCGGAAGCTGCAGTGAGCCGAGATTGTGCCACTGCACTTCAGCCTCAGCCACAGAGTGAGACCCTGTCTCAAAAAAAAATAAATAAATAAAAATAAAATAAAAATTGATTTGGATTAGTTATGTGGGTATTTTCTACTAAGTATTTGCGAAATTTCATTTTGTAGATGTATTTCATTTTTTCTAATTTTTCTGAAAAGAGAGACTGGCTGTATTAGTACTTTCTTTGGAGCTTAGTTTTCAAATCTGTAAAATGAGGACTTGAAACTAACCTTTTCTTCTAGTTCTTGAATTCTATGATAAAGAACGGGAGACTCAAGTGGAATAAGTTCAGTCTTCTTATGAAGATTTTAATTAATATTTGAAATAGGCAACTCATTCATTTGGTACAAAATTCCAAAGGTACAAATTCTGCATCATGAAAAAATGAATTTTGCTACCTTCCTTAATTGTCTCTTTATCATACTGTTTCATACAGTTTCTTCAAGAATGTCTCTTGGTATTTTTACTTTTGATGTCAGTTGATAGGAAGGCACGTTTGATTTTGATCAGTACCAAATGTTACAGTACCATTATAACAAATTATATATACAACAAATTTAATAAAATATTTTTGTATATGCTAGCTATCATTATTTCCTATACATTGTGTCAATAATGTTGGCATTTGTATAATTCACAATAGTTTTAAAGACATTTCAATATGTACTATACTATTGTATTAGATAGTACAACAGATAGTACATATTGCTCTAAGGTACCATGTATGGATATAATTTCCAACATACGAACTTGCAAGGTAGATTATAAATGTCATGATTTTGCCATGTACCATGTGTGTATTTTGATATTGTCATAATGCCTAATACAATGCTAATAATGGAGTGGTTTTATAAACTGTTACTGTGACCTATGCCCAAAAAGTCATGAAAATTGTCAACTGGTAGTTAAGAATTGGGAGGTAAATTTGAAACTTCATGTATATGACAAGGGATACATTATGCTTTATGACAAACTCTTAGTGACAGGCTGCTGGGCTCTACAGAAGTGTCTGGGGTTGAGGTCTCCCCAGGTCTGTAAAAGGACAGATAGGACTCCTGTTATCAAAGTCTAGCCCTTCCCTCCCCAGCCTTCTGCAGACTCAGTAAGAGTCTAAAGTCTGTAGGGACCACTATTTCTGAAAAAGGAATAAAAAGGTTTAAAGAGACATCCACCAGTAAAACTGCTGGTAGACTTGCAAAGAGATAGGATACTTGTATCCTTCAACTTGGCCCACCAGTTCAAAGGAAAAGAAACCGAATATATCTGGAGACTTCTCCCTGTAAATCAAAGAAAGGATGCTTACCACACCCTTACCTAGACTGCTTGTAGTTACTATGGAATCATAATGATGTCTCCCAAAAGAAAGTTCTACCTCGTGCTGCAGCATGTTTTCTTGGCCTTGAGCCATCATCACTTTCAATTAAGTAGAAATCCTTTACAAGTTGTCATCAGTTTTATCCAAGACCTTTTTAGAGATCACCCAGTATACAATGGCTATTGCTTGGCTCTAATTGAAGTATAGAAATGAGTAAGATATAATGGTTGCTCTCAATGAGTTTACAATTCAGTTAGAAGGGATACAACAAGCTCCATAACATTTATATGAGAAGGTAGAATATAAAAAGTATCTAATAGAAACACAAAGGGCTTTCATTAAACATATCATAATAATACAACTTATAAATGTGCCCTTATGGACCTCAGAATTGAAAAAGGTTTAAGCCAGAAGTAGAACAGAACATGTTGACAGGCTGTTCTTTAAAAAGACCCAGAAATGAACTCTCCTTTTATCACTATGTTTTATGCATTTTAAGGAGGTCATAAACCAACAGAATCTATAATACACATTAATGCCAGGATAAATGAAAGCCAATATATTATATGGTTAGTCTTGGCATAATCTCAGAAAAGAATTATGTGATTGATTTTGAAATCTTATTTATTGCTCTTAGTTGAATAGCTGAAAGTTCTTCCTAACTAATTTGTTTAACTGGAGTTGCTATTTAGGTAAATCATAGATTTTTTAAAACTGCTTTATAGGCTCTATTAGATAAAGAATATATAACCACATCTATCATTTTGTATTGGCCACCTTCCAAATAAAGTACACTCTTCATTTTACTGGACAGCTTCCAATACTATCCATGTACTACTAGAAGAGAAACTGTTTATTGCTTATATTTGAAAACATATTTGTTTTAAAGAAAATCATAGAAAATAATTTCTTGATTCTCCCATATTTTAGGGAGTATAAATTTTTCAACATTATATAGGGTCAAGATGAACTGACTAGCTGTGGTGACTGGAGCACTCTGCAGAGTTCCTCTAAATTCCTGGATCCAGGGTTATTAACTGAACTTTCCCTGAAGCCATTGAATTAAATTCAATATATTTGTCCTCCATTTAAGGTGACTTAATTGAATAAGGATTTATTTTTCTCATCACTCATTATTGACAGAAATTAAAATTTGTAACATCTAGGAAAATAAAATAGCCATCTTGGCTTCATAGTAACCAATTTACAATCTTTTCATAAATCATGATACTAAACACATGAATGGAAAATGAAAGACACAAAAGCCATTGTTTTTTCTTTCTGATAAAACACACACTTCCAGACCATGGCAAAATGTTTATGTTATCTTATGCCACCTAAATACCTGGCCCTGTGGGAGTTATTCAGCTGATCAATGTGTGTTACAGATGGGGCCTGTGTTACAGGTTTCATCCTTCCTCAGGAGACTTAGTTTCTGCAATGGCAGATTATACTTCTTACTAGATAAGCTTGCACTTGCCATTTCATGCAACAGGAAGAACTTCCCCATCAAATGGCAAGTGAAAGCTGGTAGAAACGGTGTTAAGTAGGTGAATCAATGAGGGGCCTCTCTGCACTGCTGAAAACAGCTACCAGAATTCAGAGGATAATGAAGGTGATCTCCAAATAGAAAAGCAAATGAAAGTAAAACATTTTTTAAAAACCCTGGCACAATTAATAGTCTTAAAAAAATGTTATAGAATACTTGTTGAATTTTCCAAGGAGCATGAAGAGGTGGAGGGGAATACTTGCTGATTTATATTAGATCTATAGCATCCATCTACAGACTCAATCTCCAGGAAACAGTGTTGATTTGAGGATTCATATACAAGAAACACCCTGCCCCAACCATGTGCTGAGCCTATGCTGAATACTTTTAGATAAATTGTATTTTTAGTCTTGTCCTTACCTATACTAAACCTTGTCACTAAATCAGATCCTCAAACAAGCCTTTGAGGAGACCCTGAGGCAACCCAGCAACTATATTGGCTCTTCCAGAACATCTTTAAAATGAATAACAGAGCAGGTTTGAAGGGAGTAGAAGGGCAGACTTATATCTGCTGAAATGATTGCGGTTTCTTTGGAATTAACATTGCAGAAGCAAGACTAATGGTAGATTTAAAAGCAGAAGGTTGGGCTCTGGTTAGACAGAGTCCTAGATAATCCAATTTTATCTTCAAAGGCAATACTCTCATGGTCTTGAAAATTTTCTTATATCCCAGTGAGAAAAAAAAAGGATGATATTAAACCTACGTATTTTTTAAAAGCCCTTCTTTTTTATTTCTTAAAGAATGTTTGATAAAATATTGTTATATGCTATTATATACTGTATTTTACTTCTATTTCAGTAATAGCTGCCATAATTACATGATTCTAAATGTAAACTCTCCAAGAAAACCATATGAAGCACTTTTTTTTTTCTTCGTTAGTGTCCAGAGAAGAAATTAGCCAAATGGAAAGCTCTAGTCAGCTGTTTTGTTTCATGGGAGAGTAGTTCATCAGCTCTCTGGAGAATTTGTGTTCAACCTTTCCACACAAGACATTCAGCTTCCAACAAACTGTGCTTGCAAATATGTCCCTAGAGACTAATATCAAACATTCCACCACAATTCTATGATGCTTGTTTTAGGTTATTTTTGATTGATGGCCTGAAGTTATGGCTTAAGTTATTTTTAAGATTGTTTGTTGAGTTTTTTTTAAGTAGCATTTGGGAGGGGGAATGGAAAGAGCCTCCTTCTTCAAAATGCAAATTACAGTTATAATTTAATTGCACATTTTCCATCAAGCCAAGTACACCTACAACTGACTTACCCATGACTTTTCCATTCTTACATCTCACTTGATCCTTGAGTGGGATCATAAGCAATTAATATAATTCTCATTTCAGAGGTAAAGAAAGGGCCAGAAAAGTTACATGGCTTTCATAACTGTGGACAAACTATACGCTAGGGCTAAAACAACCAGCACGAGAATCTGTAGCTTTTGATTTTTAACCCAATGCTCTTCTTGGTATTTATGTCTTTGGTTTCAAGCAAAAAACAAATAAGGAAGTACACACAGATCTGTTCAACTTGACCCTCAGAACCAAGTGGAAAAAAAGAAAATGAAATTCTAAAAGTAGAGCCTATTTACTAATTATTCTAACTTTTTCGTAGTTTTAAAATACGTGAATTTTAAATTTTTCTACTGTAGAATGTGCATGTATCCCATCTGGCCTAGTTTACAGACTAATAATAAATGTGGAGGATTTAATTTTCTCATATAACTAATTTAACTCCCCTAAATTTTGTCAAATTCAGCCACTCATTGCACCAACATTTCAGTTAACATCATAGATATCAATGGACAATGACTTCGCAGTCCTGTCACGATACGGTAGCCTCCAAAGTTTTATGCATAGACCAGAAAGGCTCATGCAGCTCCCAACAGAGAACTGAAGTATCTGATCGAACAGTTTAAACTGTTAGTGGAAGCTCATTGGTGCCCGAAGTTTAGAGAAAAGCCCTTTAATCTTGTCAACAGATTAACCACCTACTTTTGCTGTTTCTTTGATATCTTCCTTGGCTGATATTCAAAGGGCAATTGAATATCAAAGGCTGCCTTCTTCAGTCACCCTCACAGAAAAAGTAAAAAACTCTCCCTGCCATGGCAGGACCTTAGGGCTTTAACTTTTATTCCCTAGCTGTTATGCTCCGTCCTTTGACATATTTGCTATACGTGTAACAGATATGAATTAATTCACCATTCAAGTAAATACATAACATGCAAATTCTTAACTGTTTTATATTCAAGTTTTTATCCTTTATTCTATTCATAGAATTCTTTTCGTATATGTGTTTTCATTAGTGCTTGTTTTGGATTCCAAGTTCTTAAAGAACAAGAAGTTTCTATTTGTTCAATTATTCAGTCCTAAAACATTTACTGAGATCATGCTACGCCTCCTGAGATACAGAGATAAAGTAAGCAGCATCCTTAGCCTTGAGGAGCTAATAGTGGTGTGAGAAAGACATACATAGGACAAAACAACTGTTACAAAATGTGGCAAAAGAAAGACAGACATAAATATGAACTAATGAGAACAACCACTCTGCCCTGAAATATATGAAAATGCTACAGAGAGAAGGATTTTTCACTGGACCTTGACCGATGAGGATAATCATCAGGTTGGATGGATGAGGTAGATGGGGAGCAAAGAGAAGTACATTAGAAATAGAAGAGGAGTCATGTGTGACAACTGAAACGCATAATGGAACAGAGTGTATTTGAGGAATAGGGAGACACTGGAAGTGGCTGAAGCACAGGTGGGATATGTGTGTGTGTGTGTGTGTGTGTGTTTGTGTGTGTGTGTGTGTGTGTGTGTGTTGGAAAGTCTGGGGTGGGGAAAGGGCTGGAGATAGTGAGACAAGTAGAAATGAGAAGATAATCAAAGATCTCTATGCTAAGTAGTTGAGTTTAGATTTTATAGTCGAAGAAGAGCTGTTGGAAGTTTTTCACCAGAGAAAGATGATCAGATGAGGCTGAGTGAGATTTTTATCAAGCATCATGGAGGATGTTCTGGAATTCTCCAGGAAAATTGAATTTATCATTAGAGAACAAAGTCATGTAGTAGACATGTGCTTAGTTCCTCTAAATAAAGAAATATGTAATATTTTCAGTTCAATGTAAGCCAATATGGTCCACCAGATATGTGAGGAAAGCCTAATTAAACTAATATTTAAATAATGCTTCTAAGGTAGAATTAATAGGATGTGGTAACCCATAAATGTGTGGGGAGTGTAGGGAGGAAAAGAGAATGAAACATTTGCCTTAGGAGACTAGGTGTATTGTCTAACTATGCACTGCAGATGTTTTCAGCAACCCTTTGTAGAGAATAGAGCAGTATACCTTGCTCAGTCAGGCTTCGAAAATCCTACTGACTGTCCATCAGTCACCTTTTGCCCTTAAGAGCAATGATTCAAATTAAAACCCTGAACAAGAAAATGACCACAGGTAAATCCAGTTAATTGTAGATTAAACCTAGATTCTTCATCCAGTTTCTGTCTCTATTCAAGTTTTGTATGTCAATCACACAAGTTTCAAAGACTTCAACAGTTTGCATTAGGTCTTCCCAAGAGCATTTTAATATTCTTTACACCATTTAAATTTAAATTCTTCCAAGTACTTCCCTAAAGAAAAAAGAAAAAATCTACTTTACAGAATCAAATAAAGACCTGAATAGGCAATTGGGATAGCCATGCGGCAATCCCAGCTGAGCATAGATATATTTATACAGGTAAAACTACTTTGAATAACCAGATGAAAATTAAACCAGAAAGCCCAGCAGACTTTACATTAAAGGGCAGTGCACTTTTGCTTATATGCAAAAGTAATAATTATGGTGCTATTTGCATTTATTTAGTAAAATTTACAGATCATATATTAGAGAAAAAAGTAATCTTAAAAAAAAACCCTACTCTATATCCTGTATTTTAAGACACATATCAATGTGATTATTTTATATGGTGTTACCTATCTCCATGGGGAACAAAAAGCTGCAATCAAATCAATGCAGTAACTTATAATTGGTATTTAGAATAAGAATATATGGTAATTCACCTCCCTGAAATTATAGCACAAAAGTAAAATTCCTCAAAAACACATGAACAGAGAGTCATTATTGGAAACCAGAAGACCGTAATTATATCCTAGTGCACTTCAACTTTACCATAAGAAAGTAAAAGCCCTCTTTAAAAACATGTAATCTATAGCAGGAAAGTAATAAGACACATATAAGTAGCGTATTTATTTGCACAATGCTGTGTTAACTGAAACTTGT